>NT_167249.2:4421266-4581112 GCF_000001405.40 Homo sapiens
GGCCAATAGAAAAAGCTCCCGCGGAGAGGTGTTCCTTCCCCTTCGACTCAGCTTCTTCACCCGCGTGAGCGAGCGCGCGCGCGCGGAGGGGGTGGGGAAAATCTCAAGCAGGGTGGCGCGCATGAGCGGCGAAGCTCCTCCTCCCCGCCTATATATAAAGGGCTGGCGCGGGGCTCGGCGGCGCCATTTCGTGCTGGAGTGGAGCAGCCTCTAGAACGAGCTGGAGGATTCTGCCTACCGATACAGAGCCTTCGAGTCGTCCGGGGCCGCCATTACAATCCACCTCCATCCGCTTGGAAATGGCCTTCGTCCCGGCCTATGACTGGTCCCAGCGGGCAGTACAGACCCCCTAGAAGCCCCTGGAGCTCCCCTTTTTCGGGCCCCGCCCAATCCTCGGAGTCTGTCCACCCCCTCTACTCCGCCCTCAAGAGGATTTCAAAGATGGAGGCGGCGGCTCCCTAAACCACTTTTCGTGTTCATCCGCCTCCATCCGAGATCGAAACGGGACCTCGTCGGCCCCGTAGGGGCCCGACAAGAAGAGGGAATCCCTGCAGACCAACAGCGGGCTATATTGACGACGGTGTCTGAGATCGGGGACCGTCTTTTGAAGAGTCAGTCCCTCCTTAGTTGCCCGCCTCAGCTGAGGCCGCCGCCATTTTCTTGCTGTCCGCCGTCTGCAGAGCGCGCCAAGCTGCCCGGAGCTCTCCGAGAGGCCCCAAAGAGACTGCTTTCGTGCCGGCCAGGCAGGGGGTTTGTCGCCTGGAGGCCCAAGAGGAACGGCCTCCCCCCAACTTAGCGGGTTATGCTGGACCGGGCGGTGAGGGGAACCGAGGCCACCCGGACTTTCCGCGGCTGAGGGCAGCGCCGGTTCCTTGCGGTCAAGATGCTGCAAAACGTGACTCCCCACAATAAGTACGTTTCCGCGAGCCGCGTGTGGGAAGGGGATGTTGCAGGGCGGCGGCACAGGGGTGTGGGGCGCCGTGTTGGGAGTACTGAGCGGCCCCGGCGCGCTGCTGTTGCGGCGCAGCTGTCGACTCGGTCGCGCGGAGGGAATTGAGCGACGGTTTTGGAACGGTGGTGGCGGCTCGGCTACTGCTCGTGGAGGGGAATACAGGTTGTCAATTTATACGCTATTAATGCCGCCGTGGCCCAGTCTTAACCGAGTCAGGCAGAGCTAGTTTGACGGTGGAGTGGAGTGAGGTTGAACAGCAGGTTTGGCGTTTGGTGGGTCTGGTATCTAGCGGCGGTCTGTTAGCCTTTTAGGGGGGATTCACGGACACCTCTAGCGCCCTGTAGGGTTGCCATGGTGACGGAGCGCTTAAGGGACTGGCAACGGGGATTCCCAGAGAAGGGTAAAGGGATCACTCTCCCGTGTGTGCAGGTTCCTAATGCCCAGGGCATGTCATTAAGTCTTTTGCTTTCTTTGGGTGGGTGGGTTGTGTGTGGTGTTTGTTGGTGCAGGGATTGTTTTTTCCTAACATTAAAAGTTTGATTCAGGGCAGGAGGGTAGAGCTAAGGTTCCTAGTTCAGCTCTGCGATGTAAACAATGAGATTCCCATATGATGTTTTAATTCTTAGGTGGTAGGAAAGACTGATCGGAGGAGCACCAGAGGGACTGTAAATGAACCACTGTTAGCGTTTGGTGTCCGGAGTTGGTGCTACAGGGGGAACTGGTAGTGGAATCGTGTTGTGTAGTGGGTGGGTGGAAGGGGGCTATCACTTGGTGACCTTGACTGTTTTGTACGGCTTTTTGACTTCCTTGGAGTGAGGAGACTCTGATTTGGTGCGAATAATTTTGAGGGCCTGGAAGTTACGGGCTGTGAAGTCTGACAAATTCTTCCTTGTCTGAATTTGTTTTTAAGTTGATATGGTTCTTCCTCTGGGTTTCTAGTCTATGTTCTGTTGTGGCGTGAACTACCCAGACCTTGTGGAAGATGGTGCTCTCTCTTCTATCTAGGTGGATTATTCTGTGTCTTATCAGCATTTTATGGAATTTTTTATAGCCATAATTTGTTCTTTTCCTCCTTACCGGCGCTCAACCACCATGGCAACCACCAAACCCCTAGTGAGGAGGAAGCTTGGGGTTTGAGTTTCTTAACTCCACCCATTTTGCTTAAGCCCCATCCCCATAGGGCTGTAGTTCTGAGATGTCGTGCCTTGTCAGAAACAATTTGGGAGTTTTTTAAAATATGAAAAAGAACAGATAGAGCCTATCAGACTTAAGAAGGTGGGATCTAGATAGTATACTAAAAATATTAATAAAAGGAAGGCGGGGCCAGCAATAAAAGCTCCACAGATTGTTTGGATATTGTTTCTGCTTAAGAAGCACTTGGCATAAGCTTAACCACCTCACTAGGGCCAGCACCTGGATTCATCAGACTATTGTGCAGATGCACTTTTTCCTCATTTGGACGATATTGCCCTAATTTTGTTCCCATCTTTACAGGCTCCCTGGGGAAGGGAATGCAGGGTTGCTGGGGCTGGGCCCAGAAGCAGCAGCACCAGGGAAGAGGATTCGAAAACCCTCTCTCTTGTATGAGGGCTTTGAGAGCCCCACAATGGCTTCGGTGCCTGCTTTGCAACTTACCCCTGCCAACCCACCACCCCCGGAGGTGTCCAATCCCAAAAAGCCAGGACGAGTTACCAACCAGCTGCAATACCTACACAAGGTAGTGATGAAGGCTCTGTGGAAACATCAGTTCGCATGGCCATTCCGGCAGCCTGTGGATGCTGTCAAACTGGGTCTACCGGTGAGTAGAGACATTGGAGCCGGGGAGGTGTGGGATGAGCAAGAATGCGTGTGAATGGGGGTGGTCTGCCTAGTGTAGATGCTGCGGCCCCTAGGGAGTTCCCATTTCTCCCCTGTAGGGCAGTTAGCTACCAGATTTCTGGGTATCTTGGTCCTTTGTGATTGATCCGACCGCTTGCTGTAACTATCTTGGCATCTTTCCTTGTGCCCTCCATGTGTCCTTCCTTAACTTTTGTGCCCTGGCTCCATTTTACAGATTCCCACCTCGGGTTGGGAGAGGACCACGGTGGCCAAAATTCTTAGCTTCTTCCTTTCCCTCATGCAGCCCATGGATAGCCAGCCCCAGAGGTAATGTCACAGGATGGGAAGTTTCCAGAGTGGGTGGGAGGTGGGTGGTTAGAGAAAGGCAGCAGGGGCCTCCCTGTGGATGTCAAGAATCTTTTTTATTTATTTATTTATTTTGTCCCACAGTTTAATTGGGGCCGCAGTTTAAGTAACTGTTCCTTTGATGCATAGGGGGTGTGTGTGTGTGTGTGTGTGTGTGTGTGAGAGTCGGGGATCGGTAGTCTCCCTATAAGCATTTATTTTTCTGTGGTTCTGACCTAACATTTTTTTATTTAGGATTATCACAAAATTATAAAACAGCCTATGGACATGGGTACTATTAAGAGGAGACTTGAAAACAATTATTATTGGGCTGCTTCAGAGTGTATGCAAGATTTTAATACCATGTTCACCAACTGTTACATTTACAACAAGGTGAGTTTTTCTGTGTGTTCATTTAGTAGGTGGGGAGAAACAGTAACTTCTATTATTGCTGGATATGTTGTCTACATAAAGTTTAAATCCTTTGCTACTGAAGGTGTTATCCAGGTAGGGTAGTCGGAGTCTTAAAAACCTGACTCTAGATGGTACTATTGAACACAGTGATGTGACTTCAGAGCTCTAGTTGAAGGTTATTTAGAACACTTCATACTTGGGGGTGGTGGTCCTGTTTCTTAGAAATCACCAGAGACCTGAGTAGACCAGGGATCTGTTTTCTTGTCAGCTCTCAAGTTTTTTCTTCTTTCGAATTTTGGGAGACAGTTAGGAGAAAGTGGAAATTAGTAGTGGCCTGGAGTAGGAAATTTTCTTTAAGATTTGATGACAAGATGACTGGTGGGGGTATGGTAATGGCCTAGGGCCTGAATGCCTCTGAGAAAGATGGTGTGTATCTATCTTCTGTTGGCATTTTTTAACTTTCTTTATTGCTGTCTGTGTTCTCATAGCCCACTGATGATATTGTCCTAATGGCACAAACGCTGGAAAAGATATTCCTACAGAAGGTTGCATCAATGCCACAAGAAGAACAAGAGCTGGTAGTGACCATCCCTAAGAACAGCCACAAGAAGGGGGCCAAGTTGGCAGGTAGGAAGAGTGGGAGTTTTGCAAATGGACAACTAAAGATGGGGAAGAGAATCAAACTACACTTTTTTCCTTTTTTCTAGCGCTCCAGGGCAGTGTTACCAGTGCCCATCAGGTGCCTGCCGTCTCTTCTGTGTCACACACAGCCCTCTATACTCCTCCACCTGAGATACCTACCACTGTCCTCAACATTCCCCACCCATCAGTCATTTCCTCTCCACTTCTCAAGTCCTTGCACTCTGCTGGACCCCCGCTCCTTGCTGTTACTGCAGCTCCTCCAGCCCAGCCCCTTGCCAAGGTATGATCTGTGGATTTCCTCTGGGCAGCAGGGAGGCAAGGGTCTTAAGTAAAGTGGGCTTGGAGTGACAGGTTCCCTATCTTGTTTCTTTCTGCAGAAAAAAGGCGTAAAGCGGAAAGCAGATACTACCACCCCTACACCTACAGCCATCTTGGCTCCTGGTTCTCCAGCTAGCCCTCCTGGGAGTCTTGAGCCTAAGGCAGCACGGCTTCCCCCTATGCGTAGAGAGAGTGGTCGCCCCATCAAGCCCCCACGCAAAGACTTGCCTGACTCTCAGCAACAACACCAGAGCTCTAAGAAAGGAAAGCTTTCAGAACAGTTAAAACATTGCAATGGCATTTTGAAGGAGTTACTCTCTAAGAAGCATGCTGCCTATGCTTGGCCTTTCTATAAACCAGTGGATGCTTCTGCACTTGGCCTGCATGACTACCATGACATCATTAAGCACCCCATGGACCTCAGCACTGTCAAGGTACCCACTGCATGGGGCAGATGGGATGCTCAGGCAGTGATGGGAGCCTAGGTGCAAAACAATAAGTCTCCTTATGTGGGCACACAGCAGTCTTTGGTTCTTGGCATTTTACTTTTATAAAATAATAGTGGAACAGAAGGTCTGGTGTTTTGAGAATTTGTATTTCTTGGAGTTTGAAACAGTAGGGTGGGGTTTCTTTGTCTTGAGAAAAATACTGTCTATAATTAAGTACTAATGTGGCAGTGTTGGGTTAAGGAAGTTATAGGGTGGAAAGACAGGCATAGGCCACCTCTCTGTCACTTAGAAATGATTTCTTTTTCTAGACATAAATATTTCTTCAACCCACCCAAATTCCTTTGACTTCAAACTTGAACCCCAGGGCACAGATCCTTAAGGTCATCCCCACTGTGCTCTCAAGAGAGGGCTCTTCTTGTGGTGTCTGGGGTTGGCAGGGAAAGGTGAGTCTTCCTGCCTGTGCAGCTTCTGATGCTGCCTCCTTCTGCAGCGGAAGATGGAGAACCGTGATTACCGGGATGCACAGGAGTTTGCTGCTGATGTACGGCTTATGTTCTCCAACTGCTATAAGTACAATCCCCCAGATCACGATGTTGTGGCAATGGCACGAAAGCTACAGGTGAGTGGAAAGGTTGGAGTTTGAAAAATAAATGGTATGGGGAGTTATTTTGTCATGTGTGCTGCATAGCCTCAACGTGAGGGTCTCACTGTTCTGTACAGTTGTAAATTGGAGCTATATCACTTGGTGGCTGGGTATGTAGGGCACTGTTTATCAGCATAGTTTTGAGTTTGTGCCTCTTTCTAGGATGTATTTGAGTTCCGTTATGCCAAGATGCCAGATGAACCACTAGAACCAGGGCCTTTACCAGTCTCTACTGCCATGCCCCCTGGCTTGGCCAAATCGTCTTCAGAGTCCTCCAGTGAGGAAAGTAGCAGTGAGAGCTCCTCTGAGGAAGAGGAGGAGGAAGATGAGGAGGACGAGGAGGAAGAAGAGAGTGAAAGCTCAGACTCAGAGGAAGAAAGGGCTCATCGCTTAGCAGAACTACAGGAACAGGTATTTTGTCACTCTTGAAAGTTTTTATTGGGTAAGAGGTTCATGCCCTTTGTCCTCATTTTTTCTTCTTGTTATTTTATCTTTATTTACTTTTTCCACTTCATGTTTTTTTTCCTTTAGCTTCGGGCAGTACATGAACAACTGGCTGCTCTGTCCCAGGGTCCAATATCCAAGCCCAAGAGGAAAAGAGAGAAAAAAGAGAAAAAGAAGAAACGGAAGGCAGAGAAGCATCGAGGCCGAGCTGGGGCCGATGAAGATGACAAGGGGCCTAGGGCACCCCGCCCACCTCAACCTAAGAAGTCCAAGAAAGCAAGTGGCAGTGGGGGTGGCAGTGCTGCTTTAGGCCCTTCTGGCTTTGGACCTTCTGGAGGAAGTGGCACCAAGTGAGTTAGAGTAGGAAGCAGAGACTAGTTTGGCTATTTCTGTCTCTCTGGGGGATGCCATCTCTCTTTGCAAAGATAATTCTAAATGGCCAGTTAACAGATACAATAGGCTTTGAGCAGTGGTCCCCAACCTTTTTGGCACCAGGGACCAGTTTCGTGGAAGACAGATTTTACCACAGACAGGGTTTGAGGGGATGGTTTTTGGGATGAAACTGTTCCACCTCAGATCATTGGGCCATTGGATTCCCATAAGGAGCATGCAGCCTGGATATGTACCATGCGCACTTCACAGTAGGGTTCATGCTTCTATGAGAATCTAATGCTTCTGCTGATGTGACAGGCAGTGATGCCCACATGCCGGCTGTTCACCTCCTGCGTAGCCCAGTAACAGGCCACGGACTGGTACTGGTCTGGGGGTTGGGACCCCTGGCTTTGGGAGTCAGGGTGTTTCACAGCTACTCTGACAGTGAACTCAAAGTAGCCATAAACTAGAAACATGAAGATGGCTGTGTTCCAAAAAGACTTTATTTGCAAAGACACGTGGCGATCAGATTTGTTCTCTGGGCCATATAGTTTGCCTGTTGCTCTAAATCAATGAGTCTAGACTTGTTTTTCATGGCGTAGTAGTTTTTGGTTTTTTGGTGTGGTTTTGTGTTTTGTTTTTTTTTTTGTTAGTTTGTTTTTTGTTTTGTTTTTTTTAAAGACTCCAGGCTGGAGTGCAGTGGCGTGATCTCGGCTTACTGCAACCTCCACTTCTCGGGTTCAAGCGATTCTCCTGCCTCAGCCTCCCAAGTAGCCAGGATTACAGGCATGCGCCACCACGCCCAGCTAATTTTTGTATTTTTAGTGCGCAGCTAGTTTATGTAGTTTTAGTGGAGACGGGGTTTCGCCATGTTGGGCAGGCTGGTCTTGAACTCCTGACCTCAAGTGATCTGCCCGCCTTGGCCTCCCAAAGTGCTGGGATTACAAATCTGAGCCACTGCAGCTGGCCCATGGTGTAGTTTGGTAGTGTTTAAGGGAGCAGAAAGACCCATGTCAGTATACCTAAACAGGTATACCTTGTTTTATTGTGCTTCACTTTACGGAGTTTTTTTTAGATACTACTTTTTTTTTTAGTTGAAGATTTGTGACAACCCTGTGTGGAGCAAGTCTTTCAACAGTTTTTCCAACATGTTTGTGTGTCACATTTTTAGTAATATTTTTTCATTAAGGTATGTACGTACATTGTCTTTTTAAAGACATGTTATTGCCTACTTACAGTCAAGAGCAAAATGCTCTGTTTCACTATACAGTGTCCCAGTAGCCCACCTCTTACTTGGCCATTGAATGGAAAAACAGAAGCTCCACTCTGGGCAGGAAATAGGATCACTGAATTATAACAGTGGGAACATACTGGAAGAGGTTAATGAAGCTTCTTTTGCTGACAACTCTTTTTGCCCTTAGGCTCCCCAAAAAGGCCACAAAGACAGCCCCACCTGCCCTGCCTACAGGTTATGATTCAGAGGAGGAGGAAGAGAGCAGGCCCATGAGTTACGATGAGAAGCGGCAGCTGAGCCTGGACATCAACAAATTACCTGGGGAGAAGCTGGGCCGAGTTGTGCATATAATCCAAGCCAGGGAGCCCTCTTTACGTGATTCAAACCCAGAAGAGATTGAGATTGATTTTGAAACACTCAAGCCATCCACACTTAGAGAGCTTGAGCGCTATGTCCTTTCCTGCCTACGTAAGAAACCCCGGAAGCCCTACAGTACGTATGAAATGAGGTTCATCTCATGGTTCTGAGGACAGTTGAGGAAAGATGGTGGGGTCTGTTTGCATTCAGGATTGTCAGCTCCCAGGATAATGGGATGTGTTGGTTGGCAGCTGACGTTCAAGAAGGGAACTTGGGAACCTTAGGGGCCCATAATAAGATGCTTGGGGCAATCTTAATGTATCCTGATAAATTTCTTTCATTAGCCATTAAGAAGCCTGTGGGAAAGACAAAGGAGGAACTGGCTTTGGAGAAAAAGCGGGAATTAGAAAAGCGGTTACAAGATGTCAGCGGACAGCTCAATTCTACTAAAAAGCCCCCCAAGAAAGGTGAGTATATACTTTCATGCCACTACAGATTGACTCCATCCTGCCTTCTTGACTGTCTTTTATTGACAAATGAAGATTCAGACTTGAACGTCTTTAACTTTCGAATTTGTTCTGCAGCGAATGAGAAAACAGAGTCATCCTCTGCACAGCAAGTAGCAGTGTCACGCCTTAGCGCTTCCAGCTCTAGCTCAGATTCCAGCTCCTCCTCTTCCTCGTCGTCGTCTTCAGACACCAGTGATTCAGACTCAGGCTAAGGGGTCAGGCCAGATGGGGCAGGAAGGCTCCGCAGGACCGGACCCCTAGACCACCCTGCCCCACCTGCCCCTTCCCCCTTTGCTGTGACACTTCTTCATCTCACCCCCCCCTGCCCCCCTCTAGGAGAGCTGGCTCTGCAGTGGGGGAGGGATGCAGGGACATTTACTGAAGGAGGGACATGGACAAAACAACATTGAATTCCCAGCCCCATTGGGGAGTGATCTCTTGGACACAGAGCCCCCATTCAAAATGGGGCAGGGCAAGGGTGGGAGTGTGCAAAGCCCTGATCTGGAGTTACCTGAGGCCATAGCTGCCCTATTCACTTCTAAGGGCCCTGTTTTGAGATTGTTTGTTCTAATTTATTTTAAGCTAGGTAAGGCTGGGGGGAGGGTGGGGCCGTGGTCCCCTCAGCCTCCATGGGGAGGGAAGAAGGGGGAGCTCTTTTTTTACGTTGATTTTTTTTTTTCTACTCTGTTTTCCCTTTTTCCTTCCGCTCCATTTGGGGCCCTGGGGGTTTCAGTCATCTCCCCATTTGGTCCCCTGGACTGTCTTTGTTGATTCTAACTTGTAAATAAAGAAAATATTATTCAAGTTTTGAGTTACCTTAATATTTGCTTTTGTAGTGTTTCAAAAGGAACATCATAAGAATTGTCTTGATAATTTTGAGGGAAATATTACTGCAGTGAGAAAAGGCAATAGCTAACCTATAATTGGATTGTCTTAATTTTTAAACCAGTAGGCTTTTGCTGTGTTTTTAATAAAGTAAATATGACTTTTGTAAATTGAGTCCTTAGAAGTAATCTTTAGGTCTACAATTTGCTCTTGTTTAAATGAAAAATAGTACTGTGGCTCATTCATGCTTTAACCAAGAACTCAAAATTTTGAGGTAGGCTTTAGGTTTTTCCCTGTGGCACTGGATGTGTGAATTTTCTCCTGAGCAGACTTAAAATATGAGAAAAGGGTGGGAGGTAGCCGAACATAAGTACTTTATGCATTGAGTTTATTGCCTTTTAAAAGGAAATTGGCCTGTAATCCCAGCACTTTGGGAGGCCGAGGCGGGCAGATCACGAGGTCAGGAGATCGAGACCATGGTGAAACCCTGTCTACTAAAAAAAAATTAGCTGGGCGAGGTGGCGGGTACCTGTAGTCCCAGCTACTCGGGAGGCTGAGGCAGCAGAATGGCGTGAACTCGGGAGGCGGGGTTCAGTGAGCCGAGATCGCGCCACTGCACTCCAGCCTGGGTGGTAGACACTCCGTCTCAAAAAAAAAAGTAATTGGGCCTACTACATTGTTAAACATTGTTAAATTTTGCTGCCATGGTCACACACAAATTTACAGATAGTTTATTAGTAGAATACTAAAGAGTATTCCAACGATTAAATCACAAAACTGTGCTTTCTGCATACCCCCTTGTCTTGCTAAGGGGAGAGAAGGGTTGTATAAAAAGTTTAGGGGGTTGGGATGTGTGCATTCTGGAATTTGGGGCTTTAATACTGGAAAAGTGAGACATTTGCTTAGTATAGTGTACCATAGTAGGAAACCTGGATAGAGACGTGGAAATTAGAATCAGGAATGTAGTAAAGCAAATGGTTTATTTTGCTGTAAATGACACCACAAACTAAGTGTAGGGCAACACCACAAACTAAATGTAGGAAGCAATAAATTTTACTAGTGATGCTCAGCCCTCTTTAGGAATTCCGGCTAAACTGGGGCTTGAGCAACAATTTTCAAAAGCTCGGGAGATGGTAATAAAAAATTAGGTTTGTGAACCACCTGCTACTGTTTGCCAAGCACTTAGAGGGAAACAAACCCTTGTTTGGGCTTTCTTGCTAACTTGTGTGCACCAGTGAAAGCTCTTGAGCTCCCTTTGAGCTCTGGTTCCCTTTTGAGAATAACAGATGTTGAGGATTCGTAAGTACTTAATAGAGACGCGTTGGGCAATAGGTGATGAGATACAAATTAAAGTTCTGAAAATCGGAGTAAATAGATTTAAGCTAAGTGCATGTCTATGTCAAGGATTACATCTCATTTCAGAGGGAATTGAAGGATTTAGTTGGATTAGTTTTGGGACAAAATATAGAATATTTTGTCTGACTGCAGCCCCTTCTGCTCATGTACTTTTAAGGTTTGTTTTCTGTAGTTCGGAAAAATAAAAGTTTCAACCTGACATTGGAGGCCCCTGAGTACTTAATTCCCTGTAAATGGAACCCAGACCGCCCTAAATGCTTTAAGAGAGAGAAGGGCTGGCTGACACAGGGGCTTCAGACCTGCCTTAAACCAATTGGACTAGTCTCTTAATTGACTTTAGTTTGAACTTATTTCAAGCCTGTCTCACTTAGGGATTGTAATTGTTTCAGGAGTTTGGTTGAGTTCCATCTTGGTTGCCAAAGGACTTTATTCCAAAATAGCAGTCTCCAGCACAACTCAAAGGACTAGTGGAGTCCTGTGGGCATTATTTCCCCCTATGCTCCTCTCAGCTCTTGGAATCATGGGTTCTATTGCTGCTGCTTTTTCCCTCTCCCCTCATGCTGCCATTTACTGCCTTTTATTGCGTCCATAGGAAGCCTTTTGTTGGGTTGTGGGGGAAGGTGAGAGTCGGTCTTATTTACTCAGTCACACATTTATTGAGTTCCCTTGATTGCCTTTTCAGCAAACTGTTAGGCCTGTAGACCTGGACGTTGCCAAGCCAGAGGGTATAAGGTGAAGATAAGACAAGGTCTTATCATGGAGTTTGCTTAGCACGAATAGGGTGCAATTATTAACCATCATGGTGTGGTAATTATACTGATTGAATCCAAGATATAGGCATGACTTGGTCTTCACAGACCATCCTTATTGTGCACCCATATGTGGACCCCAGTTCCAGCCTGCCTGTAACCTTCCCCAAAGTCCTGCTCTTAGGTTCACTCGGGACTACCTTGATTGGAAGGCCCTGCTTCCATGAGTGACCAGCATGAAGGACTCCCAGGACAAGGACCAGAGGTGACTGGTGTTACTCTGGGGCTTAGTGCAAGACTGGAGGAAGATTTTCCTGAGCAATTAGAGAGTGGCTGTAATGGAGAGCTGGGAAGGAGATGTGGGAATGGTAGCATGGAACTAATGTGTTGTCACCATGATTTCATTTTTTCCTGGGTCATCACCCTAAAGATACTCACAAAATCCCACCAGCTGGTCTCCAGCACTGAATGAGACGACAGCTTCTTGCTCTCAATTTATATTCTAGGATCGGGGAAAGGGGCAGCATTAGACAACTAGTCACACGATTTTTAACAAAAATAAGTAATTCTAACAGGACAATGTGCAGAGGTCTAGCAAGAATTTAGAAAAGAGGGTTCTCTGGTCTAAGCTGAGAGCTATTCAGATATCTCAGAACGATGAGTTCCTTCCTGTTTGTAAGGGGTGGATGGGTGGGAGCAGGGAGTAGTGAACATTGCCAGCAGAAGAAACAGCAACTGAGAAGGTAACTAGGTGATGCTGAAGCAGCAAGGATGAAGGTGAGTGCTTTGAGATGCTTTGAATTTACATCTCAAAGACTAATAGCTAACATTTATTGAGCACTTACTGTGTCCCATGCACTGTGCTAAATAAAAACTTACCCTGTAAACTCATTTGGTCCTCACTATAATCCTGTGAGGTACATCTTGTCTGCATTTAACAGATAAAGAAATGAGGCACAGAGAGATTAGTCAATTTGCCCAACATCACCACATTGTCAGTGAGCACTGGAGGTGGGTTTTGAAACCAGGCGATCTGGCTTCAGGGTCCACATTTATAACTACTGCACTAGACTTCCAGTGCTGTGGGCCAGTAGGGAGCTAGGAGATAGACATGCTTTAAGGAAATTGCACTAGGGACAATCATGTTAGGGTTGGTGGGGTGTTGAGAGTGGATAGTTTAGAAAGCAATTGCAGCAGTTAATCCCAGCCAGTGAGAATAGTGGTGTAGAAGAGAAAGGCAGCAATGTAGATGAAGAAATGTAGATAGATTTGAGAGCTATGTAGGAGTTAAAATAGATGGGACTTATTCTCAAAAGGTTCTTGTCTCCACACGTTAAAGGAACAGCAGAGCACACGTGCACTTGCAGACATACAGCTCTCAGAGTCCCTAGCACAGAGCTTTCCAATAGTGGAAGCTTGATATTTTGTTGACTAAAGGAGTGCCACCTGGCTGACTGGCAGATTTGAATGGAGCTCCCTCCAGCATGGCTTGCCGAAGGGGCAGGGGTTCTGAGGCTCTTGTAGACTGCCACTGAAGGTATTTGGCGCCACCTGTTGGGCGTGTTACCCACGATTGCCTCCTGAATCTATTGTCATTTTTGTGTCCTGCCCCCGAGGTTAGGTGGTTCTTCCCTTCTTACTTTCCTAAACTTCAACTCTTAAAATGTGAGCCTTCATTTTTATGACCCAGAGGGTCACAAAAGAAGGAGATTAGGCCTTTTTAGTCCTTATCTCCCTTTACCTCTGAAGCATCCCATGGGGCTTCCCTAGCATTTTATTTTATATTGATTTATTTATTTATTTTTAAGAAAGAGGATTTCTGTCACCCAGGCTGGAGTGCAGTGGTGTGATCATAGCTCACTGTAGCTTCGACCTTCTGGGCTCAAGTAATGCTCTTGCCTCAGCCTCCTGAGTAGCTGGGATTACAGGCATGAGCCACCGCACCCTGCATCTCCTGACTTCTTTGACTTGACACCACTTGTTCCTAGCTCTCATACTTTTCAGACAGCCATTTCTTAGTCTGCTTCTTTAAAGTCTCTGCCTCTGCCTCCCATAATATATTGTCCCTTATGACACCTTTCTTTGTCCTCTTTTTATTTGCACAGTATTTTTAAGCAAGTTTACCCATTCCTCTGGAGGCACCTCCCACCCATAAAATCTGTGTCTCTGTTTAGACCTTGTATTAGTCCATTCTCACATGGCTATGAGGAAATACCTGAGACTAGGTGATTTATAAAGGAAAGAGGTTTAATTGACTCACAGTTCTGCATGGCTGGGGAGGCCTCAGGAAACTTACAATCATGGCGGAAGACACCTCTTCACAGGGTGGCAGGAGAATGAGTGCCAAAGTGAAGTGGGGAAGCCCCTTATAAAACCATAAGATCTCGTGAGAACTCACTATCACGAGAACAGCATGGGGGAAACTGCCCCCATATCAAACCTTGAGTCAAAGTTCCAAGTGCCTAATGCAATGCCTAATGGCAAGGTCCCATAAGCTCGTGCACACATTTTTAGAAAAGATTCTACCTTTTTCCCCAAACATGTCCCTCGCAGTGAGTTCTCTAAGTCAGCAGTCCCCAGCTTTTTTGGCACCAAGGACTGGTTTTGTGGAAGACAACTTTTCTATGGATGGAGGCGGGGAGAATGGTTTCCAGATCAAACTGTTCTACTTCAGATCACCAGGCATTAGATTCTCAAAAGGAGTTTGCAACCTTCCCTCGCATGCTCAGTTCACAATAGGGTTTGCAGTCCTGTGAGAATCTAATGCCACTGCTGATCTGACAAGAGGCAGAGCTTGCTCGCTGCTCACCTCCTGCTGTGCACCCCAGTTCCTACCAGGCCACGGACTGGTAGTGTTCAGTGGCCCAGAGGTTGGGGGACCCCTGCTATAAGGAACAAGCACTTATATAGAGTTTACTATGTACCAGACACTTATGAGCACTTTTGCAATTTAGTCTTCATAATAATCCTAAGAGGTAGGTACTCATCACCATTTTATACATGAGGAAACAGACATTTAGTAACAGTTCTATAGCTGCCTAGTTTCTTCCCCTTATTCTCCCCCAACTCCCTGTTCAGCCATTGAGGTCTGTTGAGCCTTCCTCTGTCCCTTCTCTCAGTGCCCCTCATCAGCCTGGACTCTCACACGACTCTGTCACTAGTCCATGTCTTTCAGCTATACTGTGTTGTTTCAGGGCCCATCACTCACCTCTCCCTTCATGCCCTGCCCTATCCCCACCACACCAGTGAAGACCTCCCTTCCTGGGTTATCATCAGACCTGTCACTTGCAGTGAGGCCTCACCTCAACTAAGGAGGTCAAAATAAGAATAACCTCTCATGTGAGTAAGAGGAACTCATCATCCTTGCCAAGCTTTCCAACCAACCCCAAACTTCAAGTATTTTTGTGTCCTTGTACAGTAAGTGAATATTTCTACATAATAAAATATTTCTTTCATCTCTTTGCCAAATGAGGACCTTGCTCATTTTGTCAGACAAGCTAATGTTTGATTTGAGATTGAAGGAGAAAAGGGATTTATTCTCCAGCGATAAGCATTTTTGCTGGTGTTTGACAAACAAAAAAAGAGCAGTTCTTCTATTAGCTGCCACTGTCAGACCTCATGGAGTCAGTTGCTATTCTAATTGCTGAGACTATGAGAAGGTAACACTGGTTAATTGATGAATACTTTCCCCTCTTCTGCCCCTGCAGAAGATGTGTTGGAACTGGCTTCTCTATGAAGGCAGGTTGTAGAGACAATGACAGTTCTTCCAAGAAAGACAGTTATTACCTTGTCTTCCTGCATGGTTTTGTTTCTCACCCAGAGTTCCTGCAAAAAAAAAAAAAAAAAAGAGACATTTTGCAGTTTCATCTACCGATTTTCTCCTCTCTCTCAAAAATAATGTTTTTAAAGACAGAGTCTTGCTCTGTAGCCCAGGCTTGAGTACAGTGGCACAATCTTGGCTCATTGCAACCTCTGCCTCCCAGGTTCAAGCAGTTCTCGTGCCTCAGCCTCCCAAGTAGCTGGAGACTACAGGTGTGCACCACCGCACCCAGATAATTTTTGTATGTTTAGTAGAGATGGGGTTTCCCCATGTTGGCCAGTCTGGTCTCGAACTTCTGATCTCAAGTGATCCGATCCACCCGCAACTGCCTCCCCAAATGCTGGGATTACAGGCATGAGCCACCATGCCCCACCCAAAAATAATTGTTTTAAAGCAGTTCTCAAGGTTTTCTAAGTTTACTTATACTCTTTTAACTCTTAAGTAACCCCAGGTAAGTGGAAGCTGAAAAGTTACAAAATGATAGTTACAAGGGCCAAGCAGTCCTGCATCCCTGTCAGAGTGAAACTTCATTCTCTCTGATGCAAAATAAAATGATGCTTGTTCTTCCAGATCCATGGTTACCATGACATATTATTCTGTATTCTTGATTTAAGAAAGCACTGGCACTGCCCAATCTCTGTGCCCTTTGATTGCTATGTCAAGCTTCAGGTTGCACACCCTGCCTTCTGTAAGGAACTTTCCTTACTTGGCCCCCAATTCCCTGATGTCTGGTCTGTGACCTGGTGTTGAAACTGGCTATGACACTGTGCTTAGACTTCCTCTTAAAATTCTGCATTCTGTTCTGGACCTGTTTCCAACCACAATAACACAACCCACTGATTTACTGTTCTTAAATCCATCTCTGCTATTCAGGCTGATTCCCAGTGATCTCATGTCCTTCTATCACTGCCTTTGGTCTTGCAAATAGACCCTACAGAGCCCCACAACTATTTAACCAATCATTTGGCCAGGGAGTAAGGCAAGAGACAAAAATTGAGGGAAGGAGAGAATGATGAGCAACTGAGGGAGCAGCTTGGGGTTGAAAAGCTACCTCAGAAAGCAGTTCTGTGATTGGGAGGAAGGTGGCTGATGTTACTGCAGGGGGTATCAAAAGCATCTGTCCTGAACTTCAGAGTCAGGTAGAAAACAAAACAGAAAGAATCTTCTTTTCCTCTGAGTCTGGGGAAACTGAGAGAGAAGGAGAAAGCCAAGGAAAGGGAACTGACACTCACTGAGCCGTTGCTATCTGCCAGGTGTATATTGATGGGCACTTTTCATAGTCATCTTTTTTGGTCCACATGACGTTCCTACCACACATATGTTATTATTTTTATTTTAGAGAGGAGGAAACTCTAAGTTAATGTGCATAAGATCACAGAGCTAGTGAGACAAGATAAGGCTAATTTCAAAGTTTATATCTTTACATACCAAACATTTCTAGTTATATTCTAGATATAAGCAAACAAGGAATTCAGAAGTAAAACTTAGCAAAAACTTCCAGATATTGTTAACTCCACCAACCTGAGCTAAAGAATGAGGCTAGAGATGAACACACACACACATGCATGCACACACATACACACAGTCACACACACACCTCAATCTTTTTAGAACTTTATTTATTTATTTATTTATTTATTTTGAGACACAGTCTTGCTCTGTCGCCTAGGCTGGAGTGCAGTGGCACGATCTCGGCTCACTGCAACCTCCACCTCCTGGGTTCAAGCAATTCTCCTGCTTCAGCCTCCCAAGTAGCTGGGATTACAGGCACCTGCCACCATGCTGGACTAATTTTTGTATTTTTAGTAGAGACGGGTTTTCGCCATGTTGGCCAGGCTGGTCTCAAACTCCTGGCCTCAAGCGATCCGCCCATCTCGGCCTCCCAAAGTGCTGGGATTACAGGCATGACCCACCAGGCCGAGCCTAGAATTTTATTTTTATTATTTTTATTTCGATAGCTTTAGGAGTACAGGTGGCTTTTATTTACATGGATGAATTGTATAGTGGTGAAGTCTGGGCTTTTAGTGTACCCATTACCCAATAGTGTATATTGTACTCAGTAAATAATTTTTCATCCTTCACCCCACTCCCCACTTCTGTGTCTCCAATGTCCGTTATACTACTCTGTATGGCTTTGCATACCCATAGCTTAGCTCCTACTTACAAGTGAGTGTTAAATTAGGTTTAGCCTAAAGCTGCTTCCTTACATGTTTTAAGTTCAGCCTAAAGGTTTCTCCATACATAGTAAACTGAAACCTAACTTGATGTGTAATCAGACTGAAACCTACTCTAGTGCCAATCACTGAGTTTTGGCCAATCAAAGGTGATCAACTGTTCAAACTGTGTTCAAATAAGACAAATGCCAAGCTTCAACCAATCCTGCTGTTTCTGTACCTCATGTCTGTTTTCTGTACATCACTTTACTTTTTCTGTTCATAAATATTCCACCACTTGGCTGTTCTGGAGTCTCTCAGCCTACTCTGGCTCAGAAGGCTCCCCAATTCACAAATTGTTCTTTGCTCAATTAAACTCTGTTGAATTTCATTCGTCTAAGGTTTTTTTTCTTTAACAATGAGAACACGTAGTACTTGGTTTTCTGTTCCTGAGTTACTTCACTTAGGAAAATGGTCCAGTTCCATCCAAGTTGCTGGAAAATATATTATTTCATTCTTTTTTATGGATGAGTACGATTTCATGGTATATACACATCACATTTTCTTATCCACTCATCAGTTTATGGGCACTTAGGTTGATTCCATACCTCTGCAATTGTGAATTCTATGTCTTTTTGATATAATGACTTCTTTTCTTTTGGGTAGATACCCAGGAGTGGGACTGCTAGATCAAATGGTAGAACTACTTTTAGTTCTTTGAGAAATCTCCATAGTGTTTTCCACAGAGGTTGTACTAATTTACATTCCCACCAGCAATGTATAAGCTATCCCTTTTCACTGCATCCTTGCCAACATCTATTGCTTTTTGACTTTTTAATATCAATGATACTGGCTGGGATAAGGTAGTATCTCATTGTGGTTTTAATTTGCATTTCCAGGCTGGGCGCGATGGCTCACGCCTGTAATCCCAGCACTTTGGGAGGCTGAGGTGGGAGTTCAAGACCAGCCTGACCAACATGGAGAAACCCCATCTCTACTAAAAATACAAAATTAGCTGGGCATGGTGGCGCATGCCTGTAATCCCAGCTACTCGGGAGGCTGAGGCAGGAGAACCACTTGAACCCAGGAGGCGGAGGCTGCAGTGAGCCAAGATCGCACCACTGCGCTCCAGCCTGGGCAACAAGAGCGAAACTCTGTCTCAAAAAAAAAAAAAAAAAATTGCATTTCCCTGATGATAGTGATGTTGAACATTTTTACATATGTTTCTGGACATTTGTATATCTTCTTTTGAGAAATGTCTGTCAATGTCGTTTGCTCACTTTTTAATGGGATTATTTATTTGGTTTTTTTTTTCTCTCATTTGTTTGAGCTCCTTCTAGATTCTGGATATTAGTCCTTTGTCAGATATTTGCAAATATTTTCTCTCATTCTGTGGTTGTCTGTTTAACTCTTGATTATTTCCTCTGCTGTGCAGAAGCTTTTTAGTTTAATTAGGTAGGTCCTATTTATTTATTTTTGCTTCTGTTGGATTTGTTTTTGAGGTCCTATTCATAAATTCTTTGCCTAGGCCAATATTCATAAGAGTTTTTCCAAGGTTTCTTCCAGAATTTTTATGATCACAGGTCTTAGATTTAAGTCGTTAATCTATCTTGAGTTAATTTTCGTATATGTTGAGAAACAGGGATCTGGTTTCGTTTTATTATTTTTATTTTTATTTTTTTTTGAGATGGAGTCTTGTTTGTCACCCAGGCTAGAGTGCAATGGTACGGTCTCGGCTCACTGCAACCTCCACCTCCTGGGTTCAAGTGATTCTCCTGCCTCAGCCTCCCAAGTAGCCAGGACTACAGGTGCACGCCACCACTCCTGGCAAAATCTTGTATTTTTTAGTAGAGACAGGGTTTCACTATGTTGGCCAGGCTGATCTCAAACTCCTGACCTCATGATCCACCCACCTCAGCCTCCCAAAATGCTGGGATTACAGGCGTGAGCCACCACGCTCGGCCCTAGTTTCGTTCTTCTACCTGTGTCAATCCAATTTTCCCAGCACTATCTATTGAATAGGGTGTCCTTTCTTCAGTGTATTGTTTTGTCTGCTTCGTTGAAGATTAGTTGGTTGTAGGTATTTGGTTTTATTTCTGGGTTCTCTATTCTGTTCCATTGATCTACTGTGTACTTTTATACCGGTACCATGCTGTTTTGGTTACTCTAGCCTTGTAGTGTAATTTGAAGTTGGGTAATGTGATGCCTCCAGATTTATTCTTTTTGTTTAGGATTGCTTTGGCTATCCAGGCTTTTTTTGTTGTTGTTCCATATGAATTTTAGGATTGCTTTTTCTAATTCTGTGAAAAATGATGCTGATATTTTGATAGGAATTGCATTAAACCTGTAGATTGCTTTGGGCAGTATGGTCATTTTTCATATTGATTCTTCCAATCTATGAGCATGGCATGGTTTTCCATTTGTTTGTGTCATCTATGATTTCTTTCATCAGTGTTTTGTAGTTCTCATTAGGGAGATCTTTCACCTCCTTGGTTAAGTATATTCCTAGACATTTACAATTTTTTTTGTAGCTATTGCAAGTGAGATTGAGTTCTTGATTTGATTGTCAGGTTGGTCGTTATTGGTATAGAGCTGTGTTATTGATTTGTGTATGTTGATTTTGTAACCTGAGACTTTACTGAATTCATTTATCAAATCTAAGAGTCTTTTGGAGGAGTCTTTAGCGTTTTCTAGGTATAAGATTATGTTATTGGCAAACAGAGATAATTTGACTTCCTCTTTTCCAATTTGGGTGTGCTTTCCCTTGTCTGTTTTCTCTGGCTAGGACTTCCAGTACTATGATGAATAGGAGTGGTGAAGGTGGGCATCTTTGTCTTGTCCAGTTCTTAGGGGGACTGGACAAGTTCCCCTGGACAGTTTTTGTTTTTTTGTGTGTGTGAGACGGAGTCTCACTCTGTCACCCAGACTGGAGTGCAGTGGTGCGACCTCAGCTCCCTGCAACCCCTGCCTCCGAGGTTCAAGCAATTCTCCTGCCTCAGCCTCCCAAGTAGCTGGGACTACAGGCATGCAGTCCCACCATGCCTAGCTAATTTTTTTTTTTTTTTTTTTTTTTTAGTAGAGATGAGGTTTCACTATTGTTGACCAGACTGGTGTCGAACTCCTGACCTCAGGTGAATTGCCCACCTTGGCCTCCCAAACTGCTGGCATTATAGGCGTGAGCCACTGTGCCCGGCCGGCTTTCAACTTTCATCCATTCAGTATGATATTGGCTGTGTGTTTATCATATCTGACTTTTATAATTTTGAGGTTTGTTCCTTCTATGCCTAGTTTGTTGAAATTTTTTATTATAAAGGGATACTGGATTTTACCAAATGCTTTTTATGCATTGATTGAAATGATCATATGACTTCGTTTTAAATTCTGTTTATGTGGTGAATCACATTTATTGACTTGCATATGTTGAACCATCCTTGCCTCCCTATGATGAAACCCACTTGATCATGGTGATTTATCATTTTGATGTGCTGATGGATTTGGTTTGTTAATATTCTGTTGAAGATTTTTGCATCTATGTTCATCAGGAATATTGTTCTGTAGTTTTCCTTTTTGTTGTGTTCTTTCCTGGCTTTGGCATCAGGTAACACTGGCTTCACAGAATGAGTTGGGGAGGATTCTCTCTTTCTTAATCTTTTGGAATAGTTTCAATAGGATTGGTACCAGTTCTTCTTTGAACATCTGGTAGAATTCAGCTGTGAATCTGGTCCTGGGCCTTTTTTTTTTTTTAAAAGATTTTTTATTACTGATTCAATATCAGTACTTGTTACTGGTTTGTTCAGGATTTCTATTTGTTCCTGATTCAAGCTTAGAGGGTTGTATGCTTCCAGGAGTTCATTCATTTCCTCTAGGTTTGTTCAGGATTTCTATTTCTTCCTGATTCAAGCTTAGAGGAATGCTTCCAGGAATTCATTCATTTCCTCTAGATTTTATAGTTTGTGTGCGTAGAGGTGTTTATAGTATTCTTAGATGATCTTTTGTATTTCTATAGTGTCAGTTGTAATGTCTCCATTTTCTTCTATGTTCTTAAATGCAGCTTCTACACAAGATTCCTGCATACTGTAGAAAATTTTATTTTTTTCACCAAGCCCAATTAATTTAGCTTAGCTGGAGAACTATTAAGAAGTGTGAAGACACAAATAAGAAACGAACGACTTCATTCCATAAATATAAGTAAAGGAAATTCCAGTGATGGCTTTTGCTGCACGAAGAGAAACCAGGCTAAGTTGAACTATTAATATTCGCTTTAGACTGCGTAATTTCTAAATGGTAACTATTCATACCTACCATTCATCCTAACCATACCTTCAGGCTTGGCTTAGACACTGGGACCTTTGTGAAGGAAGAGAGGCCTGAGGGAACTGGATTGTAGGAGATGGATGGTGAGAGGAAAGCTGGGGGTAAGGGTAGGCGTGCGTCTGGGCTTGCGTTGACTACATAAGAAGGAGATTTAAAAACTATAAAGACTTTTTAAGATTTTGGAAACTTAGTACCTTCTTCATTTTTACTTTTTTTTTTTTTGTTTTTTTTTTTTTTTTTTTTTTTTTGAAATGGAGTCTCGCTTTGTCGCCCAGGCTGGAGTGCAGTGGCGGGATCTCAGCTCACTGCAAGCTCCGCCTCTCGGGTTCACGCCATTCTCCTGCCTCAGCCTCCCGAGTAGCTGAGACTACAGGCGCCCGCCACCACGCCCGGCTAATTTTTTGTATTTTTAATAGAGACGGGGTTTCACCGTGTTAGCCAGGATGGTCTCGATCTCCTGACCTCGTGATCCGCCCGCCTCGGCCTCCCAAAGTGCTGGGATTACAGGCGTGAACCACTGCGCCCGGCCCATTTTTACTATTTTTTATTCCTCTTTTCTGTTTTCTGATTGGGATTGGCAATAAAATCTCAAATATGGGGAAAATAATTTTTTACATAACATTTTTATGTTTTATAATTTTATATAACATTTTAATGTTTTATAATTTTTTATATAACATTTTAATGTCTTATAAAAACAAAATTATATGACATTTTTCTAGGTGAACTTATTCTTGGTGTTCCTGGGATGTCTATAGACAATGTTACAGTAACTTTTGACTACAGATCATTTTTTTCAAATGATATAATATTGATAAAGTAATTGTAGGGCTCCCAAAATAAAATGAGTTGGTTTTGAGCCTATGGATGAGAAATCTGCTGGGGAAATGGTCAAATTTTATGTCTGTATTTAATAGCCATGTAGTGGAACAAAAATTTAAAGGCATTACATCATGTTTATTTTATTTTAATTAAAACAAAAGAACAACCCATTTACATTATTTATTTAAATTATAAAATATTACAGAACAGGCTGGGAGCGGTGGCTCATGCCTGTAATCCCAGCACTTTAGGAGGCTGAGGTGGGTGGATCACCTGAGGTCAGGAGATCGAGACCAGCCTGGCCAACCTGGTGAAACCCTGCCTCTACTAAAAATACAAAAATTAGTTGGGCGTGGTCGTGGGCGCCTGTAATCCCAGCTACTCGGGAGACTGAGGCAGGAGAATCACCTGAACCCAGGAGGTGGAGGGTGCAGTGAGCTGAGATTGCACCATTGCACTCCAGCCTGGGCAACAGAGCGAGACTCTGTCTCAAAAAAAAAAAAAAGTTATTCAATTGGTGACATACATCAACTTGTGAGTTCAGGAATCTAGTGCTCTCTCCTTTAATTTCCTGCTATTTTCAAGTATAATAAAGCATTACACACACACACACACACCTCTTTAATTGTGAAAATTTCCAAACCTGCAGAAAACTTGGAAAAAATAAAATAATACTTGAAAGCTGCTATGGTTTGAATGTGTCTCCCAAAGTTACTAGGCTCTTCCTTTTGCTAGAGCTAGGACATATATATTAGTAAATCATTAGTTAAAACTGACATTTCTAGTTCAAAATATTTTTCTAGTTCAAATTTAATATTATTGTTTTAATTCAACTACGTTTACTTGCTTTTCATACATTAAAAATCTCAGTTCTGAATTACATGAACATAATCACTGATTTGCTTTATTTTATACATAACAAAAAGTTGTTATATATAAAACATTGGAAACTTAATCCCCAATGCAACAACGTTGAGAAGTGGGACCTTTAAAATACGATTAGGTCATCTCTTAAAGAGATGGGCAGAGCCCTCATAAAGGGCTTAATGCCATCATCTCTAGAGTGGATTAGTTATCTCATCTCAGGAGTGAATTCCTGATGAAAGGATGAGTTTGACTCCTTTCCTCTCCTTCATCCTTTCTCTCCTCCTTTTTTCTTCTGCCTTTTTTCTTCATCACAGCAAGAAAGCCCTTGCCAGATGTTGGCACCTGACATTAGGCTTCCCAGCCTCCAGAACTGTGAGAAACAAATTTCTTTCTTTTCTTTTTTTTTTTTTTTTTTTTTTTTTTTGGTAAATTACCTAGTCTGTGGTATTCTGTTATGGCAACACAAAATGGACTAAGACAAATACCCATCATATAGATTCAACAACTGTCAAGATTTTGCTGTGTTTGTTTGAACTGTGTGTGTATTCTGAATTCATTCTGAAGTAAATTAGAGATCTAGCATTTCATCCCTAAATACTTTAGCATAAAGATGACTTGATACATAACCGTGGTACTGTAATCATACTAAACAAAACTGAAAACAGCTCTCTAATATCATCGATTACCAGTTCATATTCAAATTTCCCCATTTGTCTGAAAAGTGCTTTTATATCTGTTTTTCCTCAAAGATATTGCCAAGAATCATTCACTAAATTTGATTGTAATGTCTCTTAATTCCCACTATTCCACCCATTTTTTAAACAGCATCTTTTTAGAGAGACAAGGCCAGTAGAATCTCTCACATTTTGAATTTGTGTGATTGGTTCTTTGTGGTTTCATTTGACTTATTCCTCTATCCAATGTATTTTTTTTATAGACTAGAACTTTTTGAAACAAAGGCTTGACTAGATTTAGATGAAAGATTTTTGACAATAATTCTTCATAGGTATTGCTGTGTACTTTGCATTTCATCTTATTAGGAAGCATATGCTTAATGTCTTGTCCTATTATTGGTGAGGCTAAACTTGATCACTCAGTCGAGGTGATGACAGCCATCACCTCTGTAAAGGTATTTCTCCCATTTGACAATAGCAAATAATCTATGACCATGATACTTTGGCATGATGTGACTCTCTTGTTCCTCACTGTCTATTCTCCTAATGGTTTTAACATATATGATGCCTTCCCTGAATCAATGATCACATTAGGCTTACAAAATGCTGGTTTTCTAATTCTGTTATTTTTCCCAACATTTATTCACTGGTACTCTGAAGGGTAGACCTTTTTTCATCAGTGGAACATTTCCTTGTGAAATGTCAGGATATATACTTGTTTTCTTTAAGCACCAATTTCCTGTGTTATGAATTGGAAGATCACATCCAGTGGTAATATCAATGGGTTGTTGTTGCTTACTTTTTAAAATCTGTATTCGACTATTAATAGGAACCCATGGATTTTTATATACTCAATGTGTTTAATTATATTATAGTCATCTTTTTGATGTCTGAGTTGTTCCAGTTTTGGCCAATGGAAGCTCCTTCAAACTGGCTGACCTGTTTTTTTGACATGACTCTATTAGTCTTTGAACAGTGCCTTGTTTTATGAAAACAATGAGATACTCACACTTGCTTTGTATTTTCCATAACTCAGGCCTGGAACTGGTCACTTCTCCAAGAAGCTCTATTTCCTTTGAGTGGGAAATGATATTTACACACTACAATCTGTGCATTGAGGATGCTCATTGCTACAGGGCTACTATTAGGCTCTTTCATTTGCTGGAGCAGGGACATATATGTTAGTAAATCATTAGTTAAAATTGACAGTTCTAGTTCAAATATTTTTTCTAATATTATTATTTTAATTCAGCTACTTTTACTTGCTTTTTATACATGAAAATCTTAGTTCTTTTTTTTTTTTTTTTTTTTTCTTTGAGATGGAGTCTCTCCCTGTTGCCCAGGCTGGAGTGCAATGGTGCAATCTCCGCTGACCTCAACCTCTGCCTCCCAGGTTCAAACAATTCTCCTGCCTCAGCCGCCCGAGTACCTGGGATAACAGGCGCCCGCCACCACACCCAGCTGATTTTTTGTGTGTTTTCAGTAGAGACGGGGTTTCACTGTGTTGGCCAGGCTGGTCTTGAATGCCTGACCTTGTGATCCGCCCGCCTTGGCCTCCCAAAATGTTGGGATTACAGGGATGAGCCACTGCCCCCGGCCTAAAAATCTTAGTTCTTAATTATATTAACATAATCACTGATTTGCTTTATTTTATATATAGTATAGTTTCAAATAAGGATACAAATATTACTTAACCATAAAACAACTGAATGATGTTCAAAGTTCTGATAGTTCTTTTTGTCCTTAGAATATATTCTATTAAGTCAGCTGGGGCAACATAATGAGACCCCATTTCTATTTAAAACATGTATTTTAATTAACTGGGTATGGTGGCATGTTCCTGAAGTCCCAGCTACTGTACTTGGGAGACCGAGGTGGGAGGATCACGTGAGCCCAGGAATTTGAGGGTGCACTGAGCTATAATCACACCAGCGCACTCCAGCACTCCAGCCTTGGCTGGCAACAGAGCAAGACCCTGTCTAAAAAAACAACAAACAACAAACAACAACAACAACAAAAAATAGAGAGAGAAGAGAGAGAGTAAATGTATTCCACCAAGAACATACAGTAGTATCTTTTAATATCACTTGGGATACTTATTTTTTCTGTGTGGTTCAGTTCTATTTGTTTTAAATTTTAGAGGTTTTTGTCAATTTTTTATTAACATTGTAAATTATTTATACGTTTCAAAGGTCAATATTCACTTCTCACTTCTATTCTCCCTTCCTTCCTAAAAGTAGCCATTTTTATTAATTTCTTGTTTATCCTTCCAATGCAGCTTTTTTCCCCCTTTGGAGACATGGTCTCACTCTGTTGCCCAAGCTGGAGTGCAGTGGCACCATCATAACTCACTATAGCCTCGAACTCCTAGGCTCAAATGATCCTCTTGCTTCAGCGTCCTGAGTAGTTAGGACTACAGGGGGTACCACCATGCCTGGCTAATTTTTTTATTTTATGTAGAGACAGAGTCTTGCTATGTTGGCCAGGCTGGTGTTAAATTCCTGACCTCAAGTGATCCTCCCACTTCATCCTCCCAAAGTGTGGGGATTATAGGCACAAGCCACCACATCTGACCCAATCCACCTTTTTGAAAAAATATGTATCTTTCCTCTTTCTTACCCCAAAGGCAGTACATAGTTTAATCATTGTATTGCACTGTGAATTTTCCACTCTAACCTAGAGATTCCTCCGTATTAGTTCAAAGAGATCTTTCTCATTCCTTTTCGTTAGACTTTTTCCTTTAATTGATACATGATATTTTACATATTTTATTTATGAGGTACATGTGAGTATCTGTTACATGCATACAATGAGACTAATGATCAAGTCAGGTATTTGGGGTATCCTTCACCTTGAGCATTTATCATTTCTATGTGTTGGCAACATCTCAAGTCCTCTCTTCTAGCTACTTTGAAATATACTATATATATATATATATATATATATATATATATATATTGTTGCTGACTACAGTCACCCCAGTCTGCTATCAAACATTGGAACTTATTTTTTCTATCTCCTCATTCTTTTTAACAGCTTTGCATTACTCCATTGTGCAGATGTACTATAATTTTTTCAACTATTGTACTCTTACTAGGCATGTTTCCAATAATTTTCAATTGTTACAAATAATGACATATCATTTTTAAAAGGCAGATTACTATATAATAAAGATACATACTTCACTTTGGGAGGCCAAGGCGGACGGATCACAAGGTCAGGAGTTCGAGACCAGCCTGGCCAATATGGTGAAACCCTATCTCTACTAAAAATACAAAAATTAGCTGGGTGCGGTGGTGAATGCCTGTAGTCCCAGCTGCTCGGTAGGCTGAGGCAGGAGAATCACTTGAACCCAGCAGGCGGAGGTTGCAGTGAGCTGAGATGGCACCACTGCACTCCAGCCTGGGCAACAGAGCAAGACTCTGTCTCAAAAAAAACAAAAAACAAAAAGATACATATTTAAGTTTGGCATTTCCTTACATGTATTAAAATATGTTTTAACAGAAAAATATTACTTCTATTGATTTGTTTTTGGTTAGGTTATTAACACTCTCCTAAACACTTCGGTTTCATGCAACAATTTAGGAAATATCTGGTGTGCTTCTTAGTGAATGTGGAGATACTGGATTTGACAAATATCAGTTGGTTAGACTAGTGTTTGGCACATTGGAAGTGCTCAATAATAATAGTCAATACTATTATGAAAGATAATAGTATTAACAAAACAATACTTGTTAATATCAGAAAAACAAATTTTAATTTATTTTTCTTTATGCGGACATGTCATCAGGGAATTTGAGAGCAGGGTGACTACATTTTGTTTTAGTCAGCTGGGGCTTTAAACATTAACCATGTTTCAGGCATTACAGTAAGAACTTGTACCTGAAGCAGATC
This sequence comes from Homo sapiens, assembly GCF_000001405.40. NCBI lineage: Eukaryota > Metazoa > Chordata > Mammalia > Primates > Hominidae > Homo > Homo sapiens. The sequence continues at coordinate 4,449,238 of NT_167249.2, forward strand.
CATATACTGAAGGCCCGAGGAAAGGAATAAAGGGCAACTGGGAACCTGACCAGGTCTCAAGAGCGGTGTTGGGACTCTAGGGAGGAGGCAGCAGAACGTTTCCAGTGGACGGAAGTGCCGGGGAGTCCACCTTGGGAGACCTTAGGCTTACTCAGATTTGGAGGCTCCAGGTGGGGTGGATGCAAACCACAAGATGGAGCCAAATTACAAGTCATAGGTAGCAACCTCCTAAACCACAAGGAGGAGAGGAGAGGAAGTGAAGTCGCTCCTCTGCGTGCACGATCACTTGTCTGGAAGCTTTTCTGAAGTCAGAGAGAAAGGAAAGCCTGAGAAGTGGGACATCATTCATTGAAAGGCATCTGTGTGTAGAGATAAATAGGGTAACATGATAGGGAGAGATTGGAGATAGGTGGTTTATTTAGCAAAGTTGGTCAATGAAGCTTCTCTGAATTGGTGCCACACGAGTTGTGAATGGGTGATGAATTGGAGGCATTAATGTTAAGGAGAATTCTGGGGAAGATAGTGTGGCTATTGCTTAATGAAAGAAGGAAGAGTAGAGGGAAGTAAAGATGAAGACACATGCAGCGCCAGATCATATAGAGTCTTGTTGACCAGGAGGGAATTTAGACTAAGCAAGAAAGAAAGTCTGAACTGGGGGAGTGCTTCGACTGATCCAGGAGGGAGAAGAAAATCTCTTCAGTAATTCCATCCCCAGTCATTCTTCAAGCTCACCTCATTCCCTGCAGCCTGTTGCTGCTGAAGCCTCAGAAGAAGTTTGTTCCCAAAGTTGGGAATACCTCCTCCTACACATTTCCTAGTAATGCTGATGTCTGACCCTGTTCATCCTGCCTCATGTCTCACAAGCTGGTCTCCATTCGCTGCTGAGTAGGACAGTGCAGTGGAAAGAACATGGGCTCTAGCATCACACAGACCTTCCAACCACCTCCTAGCTGTTTGACCTTGGGCAAGTTAGGTAATTTGAATCCTAGCTTCCTTCTTTATAAAATGAAATCATTATACTTAACTTGCAGATTGGTCATAAGGAAGAAATGAAATAATTCATGTATGGCAGAATGATGCTTTTCTTTTTCCTTTGTTTGTATTTAGGTTTGTCACACAAGACAATAGCACATGTCACCGCCAAGGCCTTTCCTCTTCTGGCTTTGGATTTCCCAAAATCTGAAGCTCACTTGACATTATGCCAGGTGTCCCAGACATTGTGCCAGAGAGAGAGAGGGGAATGCCTTTGACAGGCAAAGGGGGAAGGTTCTCCCAAACTGAGGAAGGCACAGTGGCCTGTGGGTCTGAAAGAGCCCTGCTTCCTTGCAGCAGCCAAGGCAGGTGGGGAGGCCTCCCAGGGACGGGGAAGTTGGCCGTATGGTGCATCTTTGCAGTCCTGCTCCCAGGCACTGGGGATCACTCCTCACTAAAGATTCCCCTGCCCCAAGCCTAGTGCAGAAGCAGCAGAGCTTCCACTTGGAAAAGAGCATACAGGTTAAGCCCTAGGCATGCTTGGAGTAAACAGTCTGGACTGGAGAAGACAACAGGGGCTTCTCCAAGGCCTCAGCACTGTGTCAGGGCGCAGACCCTTGGAACAACTGTAAGAGACCAGAAGCCCCAATAAAGACAGATTGAACTTAAAACCAGCCTCATGGCAGGGGTTTTGAATCAGATTTAAGATTTTTTAAAGAGCAGGTTTTGAATCAGATTTTCGATTATTTAAAGACATTTACTATTTTTTGCACTCTGTGCACTATCTTATTAATCTTTTGGACCAAGATTCAAATCCACTACACGTGAAAAGCATTAAGGCCAGGCACATTGCATGTGTTGGGTAAACGGTAGCCAATGTTATTAAAACCAGCTGCAGACAGTCGGACCAGGCTGGATTTGAAGCAAACAAAATTGAATTAAATAGAATTCTACAGTGTTTCAATGCCCATTATGTTCTGGGTGTTGGAACTATAAGACACAGCCTTCTCTTGCTTTAGAGGAGCAGTTAGTGGCAAAGGCAAATTCATACACAGTCAACTGACACAGGGCGGAATGTGGTATGCACTGCAGGGACAGGGTGGCCAGCATATTGGGGGCTGGGATTGAAAATGCTTCACAGAAGAGGTGACATTTAATCTGGACCCTGGAAGGACAGGTAGAATTTTGACTGGTTGGTGGAGGAAGGCAGGTCCAGCACAGAGAATAGTTTGTGCAAAGGCAGGGAGGAGTAAACATGCGACAACAGTTTTCTGTGACTTAAGCATTGATCATTTTCAGGAGGAGCTATTATATGGTTAAAATAGGCCAGGTGCGGTGGCTCATGCCTGTAATCCCAGCACTTTGGGAGGCCAAGGCAGGCGGAGCACCTGAGGTCAGAAGTTCGAGACCAGCCTGGCCAACATGGTGAAACCCGGTCTCTACTAAAAATAATAAAATTAGCCGGGCATGGTGGGGGGGTGCCTGTAATTCCAGCTACTCAGGAGGGTGAGGCAGGAGAATTGCTTGAACCTGGGAGACAGAGGTTGCAGTGAGCTGAGATTGCACCACTGCACTCCAGCTTGGGTAACAGAGTGAGACTCTACCTCAAAAAAAAAAAAAAAAGAAAAGAAAAAAAGAAAAAGAAATACCCTGAGGACAGTTTGAGAAGGGTCTTCATCTTGTAGGTAATGGAGCACCTATAAGAATTTAAAGGAGGAAGGGAAAAAGCAGATATCCTATAAGCTTCTGAGAGAAAAAAACAACAACGATTACGTACAAAGTTTCATGACACAATATCTTTTGGATTATCAACAATAACGCAGGAAGCTAAGGGATTATAGAGAAATGCCTTAAAAATTCTGATGGAAATGATTTCCAATCTTGAATTTTATAACCGTGGAAGCTATTATTCAAGTGTGAGAGTAGAATAAATATATTTTCCGACATACGAAGCATAAAAAGTTTTCCTCATATGCACTGTTTCTCAGGAAGTGGAAAGAAGAGGTGCCTCATTAAAATAAGGCAGACCACAAAAGGGCAATGACTGGATACAAGAAGCAGAAGATCCAACTCGGAGGATAGGTAAATCCTGACGAGGATGGCGAAGAGTGATCTCAGAGTGACCGCTGTATCATCAAGGGCAAGGAGTTAAGAATGGAGCAGACAGAAGGTTCTGGGAGAGTTATATCTGGTGATAAAATTGACAGAATACCTGATGTGTTTGATTGTACTGTGAGGAATTTTGTGATTCATTAATAATAAGTACAAATACAGCCACACAAAGGAAAACAGGACAACTATATACTCCAGAGAAAACGAAGTCGTCTAGAAAAGGAAGAGTGAGCATGGCTTGCTCTATGGTTTGCCATTACATGGTCATATTGATAGAAACATAGTAAACACAGTAACTTTTACTATATTGTAAAAATTACAATATAGTCACATTAAAAGAAAGGGCATGGGAAAGGGGGCATGATGTTCTTTGAGGATGAAAAAAATCTAAATCCCCCTCTTCCACAGCAGGAGGTAAAGAGATAAAGCCTAAAGCTGAAAAATCTAGATGTAGCAACACAAACATGTTATTTAGAGATGGGAGGTTAATACCAACAAAACATATTAGAACAATTGAAAGTTATTTTCTGTAAGGGTGAGGATATGGTGGGAGATGGGGCTGGAAACTGGTATTTCTGTAGCAAATATTGTAGAAATATTTGACTCTTTAAACTATAACATAATTTGGTTAAAAATTAAAACCGAAAGAGAGTGGATGGGAAGAGGGGATCTGGAGGCAGTCCACGTAGACACTCTCAGAGAGCGTGACCAGGAGCTTGGGTGGAAGGGAGACTGGGTCAAGGACAGACAGAGGATTTGATGTTCTTGTTATATAGGAGAGATGACATGCTTATGATTTGTAGGATGACCCTGCAAAAAGGGAGAGTTTGGATACAAAGGACAGGAGACTACTGGATGTCTGTTCTAAAAGAGAGTGAAAGATCAAGAATGCAGGAGGACAACTTGTTTTTTAAAATAAAAGACTACGTACCTTGAGACTAGAAACAAATGTGAGTATACACGCAGGTGCATAAATCTAAAAGCTCTGGAATTACTCCTAGAAGTTCCAGTGACTTCAGGGTAGTATATGCAACAGTAAAAAAAAAGCATATTTCTTTAGTCAAAAGAACACAATTTTAATGACTTTATCAAGCCTTAGGACAGAGATGAGAGAAACACCTTTCCAATGATGCATCAAGTTAACGTCTAAGCAAAAGATCAGCAGAGATCAGAGATTGTTGGGTACACACGTATCTTGTGATGTCTTCTGAGAACCAACTTATTCCTCTTTCTCTGAGAAGAACTTGACCCCTCGCCCCGGGGCTGAGTGCTTGGCAGCCACATTTGTGTTGAGATCTTGATTCCTGCTCTAACTACACAGGGCTGGGATGGACACCTGCTCCAAGTTTGGCCAGTCATTTATTTTTCCAGTAATTTAAAGCTGTGACTAGGAGACACAGCCTCTGTGGGTTGTGAGGGTTGAGATGATATAAACTCAGGAGCTGTCGGGTGGACATGTTCACTGAGAAGGACAGTCAGTCCACAGAGAGAGAACACCGCTAACATGCAGGGGGGTCTAGAGAACACAGACCATGTGGATCCGAGAGTGTTGGAGGGGCAGCTCTAGCTTCTCTGGGCTTTTCGGATCCGAGTTCTGTTCCTGGGAGGCCTGGCTAAAATCTACCCTTGGGCCCTGCACTCCTCCCCATGGCTATATTGCAAATATCCTATACTTTGCATGTGATCACACAAAGAGGGTTTCTGTTACTGGCACACAAAAAGTTTGCCTGAGATGATTTTCCTCCACTTCCATCAGGGTCTTCTGGTCATTGATTTCAACTTATTCCCTCTTAAGAAGCCCATTGAGTCCCCATAATCTCTTGGTTTCTTTCTTTTCCAGGACCAACTGCTCACAGTTCAAACCCTCATTTTGCCTCTATTTACTTGTACCTTGATTGGCTGATGCCCTAACAGACCCAGGTTCTTCAGAAAGCCTTCCTAGTCCACCTCAGACCTTGGGGATCCCCCTTTCCCATGACCCCCGATGGCACCTGATTACGTCACTGGGTTCCAGTTACCAGACCACAGCCAAGGTCCAGGATGGCTGCATCAGAGTCATCCAGAGCCGGTTAAAAATGACAGCCTCGGCTGGGCACAGTGGCTAATGCCTGTAATTCCAGTACTTTGGGAGGGAAGGTGGGTGGATCACGAGGTCAAGAGATGGAGGCCATCCTGGCCAACATGATGAAACCCCGTCTCTACTTAAAATACAAAAATTAGCTGAGTGTAGTGGCGCACACCTGTAGTCCCAGCTACTCAGGAGGCTGAGGCAGGAGAATGGCTTGAACTCAGGAGGTGGAGGTTGCAGTGAGCTGAGATCATGCCATGGCACTCCAGCCTGGTGACAGAGTGAGACCCCTTCTCAGAAAAGACAGCCCCCCTGTTGCTGCCCCCTGCACTCCCGAGATTCTAATTCAGTAGGTCTGGGTGATGACTGTTATTTTTATATTTTATTTATTTATTTATTTAGAGACAGGGTCTCACTCTGTCACCTAGGCTGGAGTGCAGTGGCGCAATCTTGGCTCACTGCAGCCTTGAACTCCTGGGCTCAAGCACTCCTCCGGCCTCAGCCTCCCCAGTGGCTGGGAATACAGGTGCGAGCCACCATGGCTGGTTAATTTTTAAATCTTTCTTTGTAGAGATGGGGTCTCTCTATGTAGCCCAAGATGGTTTCCACCTCTTGGCCTCAAGCAGTTCTGTCCCCTTGGCCTCCCAAAGTGCTGGGATTACAGGAATGAGCCACTGCACCAGGCCAATGCCTGTACTTTTAAAAGGATCCCAAGCAGTTCTTATGTGCATTCTGGTTTGAAAACCGTAATCTGTATTGCTCATTTTGGTCTTGACATAAACTATGTGGTATGGTGATTTATCTCTTTGTATGTTTTAAATTTTGTTCACAGAAAAGTAGACCAAAATCTTCTAGGCCACATATTTAGAATGTGTCTAGGTGGACCTCCCCTCTTACGAGATACCTTGCAGACCGACTCTACCACCTCCTACCTAACATGACTGACTCCACTGAGGGAAGTGGCCACCTTATCCAAGCCTTGGGCCTCTCTTTATCATGCATGGGACTCTAGGGAAAGTAGAAAAAGGAGATAACATCATGGCAGGATACCAGTGGCCTCTTCATACAGAGTAAACCCAGGCAGGAGTGGAGTCCCCATGAGCCTGTCTTGTCCCAGCACCCTTCAGAACTGTTGTTAGCTGAGGGGGTCGTGAGGAACAGGATAATCTGCATCCCTTTCAGGGTAAACCTGAACTCAGGAGGCAAATTTCATGAAGTCCATGTGAAATGGCTCATTCACAAAGTAACACACAATGGGCCAAATGGAGCAAGACACACCTGTGTGGGCCCCAGGACGGCTGCCAATCCCCAGCACCACATGCCTCACCCCTGGAAGAACTGGCCAAGGCCTGGAAAGGACACAGTGCAAACACCACCAAAGCATTTAGTGCTGCCAGCCAGAGCTTTGGGTAGAGCAAGAATGTGTGTTTGTGTTGAATGGGAAGGGAAGCTAGTAGGTGTCCAACAAACCCTGCCATGAATACTGGGGCCAAAAAAGAGGGGACCCGTAGGACAGATGTTGATCCCACTCAAAGTCAGCACAGCGGGATGCACTTAAAGGGCACTGAGCACGCAGGGGCTGTCACAAACCCATGAGGATCTGCAGGGTGTCTCCCACAAGTCATTTCTCTCAGAAGGATCATTACCTAAAATAGCAGAAAACATACGATCGAGGTTGCTCAATTTCAATATGCTGGGATCCTATCTCTGAGTGCCCACCTCCCCCAAAACCTCACTCTCTCACCCCACCTCTGCTTCTTTTCTCCCTGCCCATTTCTTTTCTGACTTCTTTCCCCACAACAGAATCTCTGATTCTCCACCCACGTCCTGTTCAGAGTCATCCACTTTCCTCCCCCACCCCCCAGACTCCTGGGGCCTCTGCACCTGGGGACACTGGACACATATGTGCCCATGATGATGAGGACGGTGCCCACGAGGAAGCCCACCAGGCCGATGGCCAGGCCCAGGGCACAGACCAGGGTCTCCATGGCATCTGGTGGTGGAATAGGCACCTGGAGCTCTAGGAGAGAAAGGAAGGAGTCGGTGGTATATGAAAGGATTCTAGAGTAAAGGAAACCTGGGGCCAGGAGGGTGCATGGGGAGGGGGCTCCGTACCCCAATGCCTGAGGAGTGGCGCATCCAGGCCCCAGTGCTCCACCTGGCAGTCATAGACGTCCTCGGCTGAGGGCACGAAGGGCAGGTAGTGGAACTTGCGGAACAAATGGTCAGGCTGGGAATAGAAGCTGGTCTGGGCCACTCCCTCAGTGACAGTTTGGCCGTTGCGTAGCCAGGTGATATTGATCACAGGGGGGAAGATGTTGTCCACGATGCAGATGAGGATGTTGGGCTGGCCCAGCTCCACCCGAGACTTGGGGAGCACGGTCACCCGTGGAGGCACTAGGAGGAACGGGCCCTGAGTCCACAGGCTCATCCCTCACCCCAGGGCCTTACTAGGACTGGGATTAAGGGACGTTCCCCCTTTGTAGCCATCTGTGGGCAGGGGATGCTCTGGGGTATCCACTGGGGCAGGAGAGGAGGGAAACAGAGGGAGAGGAGACTGGGGAGGGAGTGGGGACGCCAGGAGCTCCTATATTTGACTGGTCCCCGGGCGGGAGTCCGGGTGAGAGGTGTCATTCCTCAAGGAGAGGGGTGCCAAAGGGGTCTGGGAAGACCTGGAGCCTCCTGGGAAAGAAAGGAACAGGGCATGACAGGCGCGGGCGCTGAGACCGCGCCCCAGAGTGATGGGAGCCTAGGAACTGGGAGGAAGTTTCTCTGGACCTTCCCGCCTGACTGGGTGGGCAGAGGGAGGGCCGGTACCGTTGATGGCTCTGCTGCGGTTGGAGCGCTCCACCAGGATGTCCAGATGGGCTTTGATTGCGGCGATGCCGGCCAGCCCGCCCTGCGGGTCAAAGCGGGCAAAGTCACCAAACTCAGGCAGACGCCACACGGCCTCGCTTTTCTTCAGGTCCACAGAGAACAGCTGTTCCTCATCAAATTCATGGGTGAACTGGCCCGAGGCGCCGTAAGACTGGTAGAAGGCGGGTCCGTAGGAGCCCATGTGGTCAGCTGTGTTTGGCGAGTTCAGGGTCAAGGAGAGAGAAAAAAATGTGTCTGTCTCATCCACAATATGTGATTGTTGAGTCCCTGAGCCTGGGCCCCGTCCTGGGTTCTGTGTGGGGACAGAGTCCTGTTCTGACACTGGGCTGGCCCTGGGAGAGAGAAAGGGAGAGAGAACAGGAAGAAAGAGGCTCATCCCAGCACACTGCAGTCGGCACAGAGACAGTGCAGTCTGGCATATCAGGATGGGAAGAGGAGGGACTGCCTAAAATCATGCTTGGGGTTCCAGAATTTAAATCTTGGCTGTGGTCATCTGCCCTGGCTGTGTTGTCAGGCCCTGTGTTGTGAGCTGGTGGGACTGTGGGGGTGGGATGAGGAGGAATGATTAAGGACAGGAGAGTATGGAGCTTTGCACAGAGATGCAGTGCAGGTGGGTGTGAGGGGAAACAGGCCACGGCTGGCAGGGGTAAGAATTAAGGTTAGTGACCCAGAGACCAAGGGGATAGGGAGAGGCAACTCAAGGCATTACAAAGAGCACTGGACGAGGAGTCAGAAGTCAAGGTTCATGTCCCAATTCCTCCATCTCAGAGCATTATGACTGAGTGTGGCTCTTCCATAACTGTTGTCTAGTTTTCTGGAAGTTAGGGATTAAGTTTTAATTCTTGTAGAACTCTATGAAGTTGTTTGAGCAACAGTTATTGAGGAACTAGCATGCACCCAGCACAATGGTGGGCCAGGGAAATAAAAGAAAAAAAAGATGAACCATCTGTAGACCCGCACCCCAGCTCATGTCTCCCGAAGAACAAAGACAGGTAAATAGTTAACTACCGGCATGGGCATAAATACTGCAACAGAACTGGACTTGATCGGGCACATTCCCGGCCAGGGGTGGTAGAGAAATCAGGGTGCTTGCTGGCATCTGTTGGGTGGAGGTTTGGGTCTCAGGAAGGAGGAAGGAATGAGGAGAAATCTGAACGTCAGCAAAGGCTGACTGGGGCACCTGCGCAGCTGACCGAGCTGCATCTTCATTTAGGTCCAGAGTGGATGTGACAGAGATGAGGGGGATTGGGTGTCTCTTGGTGAAGGAAGTTGCCCATAAACCAGAGAGCGAGAGGAACAAGCATCCTCCATGCCACCTCCTCATGTAACCCAACTCCGTAAATCTCTGCTCCCCGCCGCACCCTCCTCGCCCTCGCACTCACCCTTGGTGGCCCCTGCCTCCTGCGGGCTCAGGAGGGTCATCAGGGTGTGGAACCCCAGGACCAGCCCTGCTCTGAGGGCCATTACACTCTGGTGCTTTAATCAAATCAGTCTCAGTCCGTGTGGTGAGGACAGGAACAAGGCGGAGGTAAAGAAGAAGAAAACAGATTCGAGGATGGGGGCGACCCCTGCTGTCTTCAGCCAATCACAGAAATTCTCTGAGTGAATGTATCTGTTGCTGGGTAAAGAGGGAAAGAGCCGGGGTGAGAAGGTGGAAGGATTCACTGGGCCCCCAGGAGAGGCCAAAGGAAGTTTTGGAGGATGGGAGGGGCTTGGACCAACTATTACCACGTCCTCCAAGAAGGGACCCCCTGAAGAGAGAGAAAAGGCCGTCAGAGCACCGCGCAGCTGAGCTCCAACAAATCCTCTCTCTATGTCCATCTGCGATGCAGGGAATCCTACTTTCCCAAGAAGTTTCCGTGGACAAATTTTGAGTTAGAAAGTAAAATAAACTTTACCAATAATCTTTAAAAGGAAAACATTGGCTACACAATGGAATAAAAACCTCTTAAAACTTTAAATCACTTTCAAAAATGTTATTTTATTTTTCTTTTATTATTATTTAATTTCATTGTGTAAGAAAAAATGTGTAATTGTTGGAGTTGTTTGGTCTAAAGCAAAGTGTAAAGAGCTCCCGTGGACTCCCCGAGGAGGGCAGAGGTGCTGGTCCTCTCTGTTGGTCCCTCCAGGACCCGGGCACCTCCTCCAGGCTGACACAGGCTGGAGGACGGCATCACCCTTGCCTTTGGCTTCTGGTTGGGCTCGGCTAATAAGAGGCACTGGGAGAATTTAGTCCAGTATATATATTTAAAAAACAAAACAAAACAAAACAACAACAACGTAAAGCTAACGTCTGTGTAAAGAGAAATCTAACCAAATTAGGCCATGCGTCAAAGACCATGAAATCGATGATTTTCAACTTGGAAGGAGCTAGGAAATCATGCGGGTCTCTGGTTCCAAATGAGAATCACCTGGGGGGTTCGTTATAATACGTGTTCCTGAGTTTCCTCTTTACTTAATGGGTTAGATTAGCCTTTCCAAGGCAGGGCCAGGGAACCTGTGTTTTCAGCATGCTCCCCAGGTGGTTCTCGGGTAGTCTGTGGACTGGTAAAACCTGCTCCAATGCTCTTTCCTCAATGAATAAGGGATGCCTATTTTAAGTGGGGCAGACACAGCTTCTGACTTCAAATTAATCAAATGACAGCTAGTAATTGATTTGCATGGCCCGGTTTATGGGGAGCCCTAATCTTAGTTTTTTCGTTTCTAGTCCACAGTGTCTACGTAATGCCTAGCACATCATAGGCGCCTAGGAGACACCTGCGCATGAATGAACAGTGTCTTCACTGCTTTGGTCCTGCCCTGGTTAGGACCCTTGCCACCTTCACCTCCCCCCAAGTGAGGTGGGAGCTGGAGCCATGAGATGAAAGACGGGAAAGCCATGAAAAACTCATGATAAAGAATGTTGCTTCTTTGGTTAATAACAGTCGAGTATCGGGTGTTTTTTTTATTTGAAAACATACATAGATTTTTTAAAGTATGTTTTTTGTTATTAACTTATAATTTAATTACATGATAATCCTCTATGGCTTGGAGTGTGGTGAACTTCTGTAAATATTTCACATGGGCTCTAATAAATGTGATGCAGAATTTTATACATGTACATGTTTATTGGATCAAGCATGTGGATTTTGTCATTCTAATTTATTACGGTTTTCTTTATCTTTGGACTGGCCTATACATAACTAAGAGTGGTGCATTTATTTATTTATTTTTTAGAGACAGGGCCTTGCTCTGTTGCTCAGGCTGGAGGGCAGTGAAGTAATCATGGCTCGCTGCAGCCTCAAACAGCTGGGCTTAAGCGATCCTCCTGCCTCAGCCTCCCAGAGTAGCTGGGACTATAGGCATGCCCCACAATTCCTGGCCTATGAATGGTATATTTAAATCTCTAACTGTGACTGTAGGTTTTTCAACTTGTTTCTAATTTTTAAATCAACTTTTGCCCTCTCTGCATTTAGGTTATTAAGGTGTTTACTCTTGGGAATTATTACAGTCTTGGTGAACTGAGCCTTTTCCCAATTTGTCCTGAGAATCTTTCTGTCCTACTCTGTCTTGTCTGATAGTAATAAGTTCTACAGCTGTCTTTGGGTATTTGTTCACTGTATCTTTTTCTACTCTTTTGTTTTTACTCTTCCTTTGTACTTATGCTTTAGATGTAGCCCTTGAAATGTCATAAATATAGATTTTTGCTTCTGATTCAATCTGACGATCTCTGTCTTCTAACCTATGTTCAATTCATATGGTAGTCAAAGTGAGCAAACTCGTTTCTGCAAGAGACAAACACTGAAGCCTCAGTGGTTTAACAAAACACAGGTTTATTTTTTAGCCACGTGTAGTTCAAGGCAGGTTGGGCACTCTGTAGCTCTTTTCCAAAACATGCCTCAAGGTGGCTAAGCTCCGCTTTGCATCTCTATTATTGAAAACCACTTCATGAACTCCTAGCTTTGCAGGTAGGAGAGAGAACCTGGGAAAGGCACATTGTTTCCATGGTTTTGGACCAGAAACTATTTGCCATCTCTGCTCACATTCCATTGGCAAGAAGTAAACAATGACCCCACATAGGCGCACGGGGATGGAAAAATGTACGTTACCTATGTGTGCAGGAAGATATAATGGTTTGGTGAGCACATGGCACTGTCTTTGCTGCATTCTGATTGTGTTTATTGTGAATATTGATGCACTTGGGCTTGTTTGTAATACCTTATTTATTTCAATATTTCTATTTTTTAAAGTTTGTTTGTTTGTTTGTTTGTTTTTGAGACGGAGTCTCGCTCTGTTGCCACGCTGGAGTGTAGTGGCATGATCTGGGCTGGCTCACTGCAACCTCTGCTTCCCGGGTTCAAGCGATTCTCCTGCCTCAGCTTCCCGAGTAGCTGGGACTACAGGTGCATGCCACCATGCTTGGCTATTTTTTTTTTTTTTTTTTGTATTTTAGTAGAGATGGGGTTTCACCATGTTGCCCAGGCTTATTCTCCTGAGCTCAGGCAATCTGCCCGGCTTGGCCTCACAAACTGCTAGGATTACAGGCGTGAGCCATCACACCCGGCCAAGTTTTCTTTTTTAATCTTCATTGCCTTTTTTTTTTTTTAAGTGTTACCGATACCTTCTCCATCTTCCCTCTGACTGGATAAGAACTTTAGCATGCTTTCAAATTTATTCACATATTTTCTCCTTCACCAAATTATTTGGTCAACATTACTTTTCATATCTTTTGGCACCTTCTAGAATGCGTTCTCTGATTAGAATTCTTCTTCCAAGACCTTTCAGATGTGGGAATTTGCATAGCAAACCTTCTAAAGTCTTGTATGCTTGATAATTTTTTAAAATTATGCCAGTACTTTTGAATAAAGTTTAGCTGTGTATTACATACTATTTGAAGTGTTTTCCCTTTAATATTCTAAATAACATCATTCCAAATTTTTTTTTTGCATCCAATGTCACAGTTAGAAAATCCCATGTCAGTCTTTCATGCTGGAATCTTCTAGAATTTTCTCATTGTCTTTGATATTTTTAAATTTTGCTAGTGTGTCTAGAGTGGGTTTTTCCTTCTCTCTGTAAGACATTATGGATCTTCTCTATCTTTTAATTCTGGGAATTCATCTTTTTATTTCTTTAACTATTTTTCTCCTCTCTCTATTTTTTGTCTTTGTGAAACTCATATAATCTATATTTGGATAATTCTCTCCTCCTTTTCCCCTGACTTTTCTATTGATGACTTCTCAATTCTTCCCTCTTTTGTTCTGAACTAGCTCCTCAGTGTAGTCCTCCATCTTTCTGTTTTGTTTTTCAGTTGCATCTCTCCCACTATTTATCCCATTAATGTGGCTTTTACTTTGACTATTATATATATATTTTTACACCTAGAACGTCTAGGTTTTTTCCCTATATTCTCTATTTTTTCATATTATAATAGCTTCTGACTTTTAAAGTGCACTTTTAATGCTCATTTTAAGCGGCTGGTCTATATTTTCTACCACTTCTTTCAAGGACATAGATGGTCCTGTTTGCTGTTTTTCTTTTGAGGTGTCGGCACTCCCTAAAGGTATTATTTTGACCCACTAGTGGCCATCTGTGTTGGTGTCATGTGTGTAAAGAGAAAGGAGGGCCAGCTGGAGTCCTAGGCCAGCGCAAAACCATAGTCACTACCCTTTGGGTGTCACTTCAGGTCAGGACTTCAGGGTGGGAGCACTAGGAGGCGTAGGGAGCACTGATAGCTGGGGTGGCAGAGGAGGCAATGACTAGGGCAGTCCCCAGCTCCTCCCACTCCAGCAGGATTTCAGCTTGGATTTTCTCACCCACCCTTCAACAGCTGGACAGGCAATCAGGATCTTGCCATTATTTTTTGCAGCAGGGAGCAGGCAGTGATTGCTCAAGGCCAACACCGGGGAGGCAAGAGCAGAAGGTTCCAGGAACCTTCTCATAGCCACAGCCAGCAAGCAACCCAGTTCAGAACACCTTTCAGTCTCACCAGGGCTTCCTCATTATTTGTTTTCTTGGAATGTATATGTATGGTCCACATTCCCTCCTAGATGGAAAGGGCCTGTAAGAAGGGATCATGGATGATTGAATCTTTGTTACACAATCTTCCTTTTCCCCCTAAACGCTAGCACGTTATTAAATAAATAAGTCAATGATAACAAATAAAAGTGAATAAAGTGGATAACCCTGACTCTAGGGAGAGGTACTGTTATTGGGACTAGAGTCTAATAATGAGGCAAACACAGATTCGACAAAAACTTACTAAAGTGTCCTTTAAAAATGACACAAATCCAGTTGTTCTAAATTGTCTAAAATGCTGACTTTGAGGTAAAGTTGTATCTGTCATGTTCTTTGGAGCATGACAAGTTCAGGTAGGTGTTGGGGGATATTCTTCATTAAATACATGTTTATAGGACACCTGATGTGACTTAGGCACTGTGTGCTGCTCTGGGAGCACAGAAGAGCAGGACATGATCCCCTTCCTCAAGGACTGTGCTGTCCTGTGCAGTAGCCGCCAGCCACCTGTAGCTATTAAGCCAAAAAAAACTCTAAGTATAAAATGCCCTGGGATTTGAAGACTTAATTAAATGTATATACATAATCTCAGTAATTTCTATATTAATTAATGTTCAGTTTGCAATTTTTTGTATATTTGCGGTTTAAAATATGTATTAGATTAATCTCACCTGTTTCTTATTGCTTTTTAAATGTAGCTACTAGAAAATTTGAAATTGAATTAAGAGGCTCCCATTATATTTCTACTGGACAGCGCTGCTCTGGGTGCTCTTGGTTGGCTACCAGTTGGCCACTGGCTCCTTTTCTGAGATTTTTACATTTAAGTAGCCAGCTTGCCAGAGTCTTCAAGTCCTTTCCTGTTACTACCTAGATATTCCACCAGAGGGCGACCTTACCATTGAATTTTTCCATTCTGGACCTTAGATCTGACTGTTTGCTGGTGCATCGCTCTGTTTTAATCTATTTTGCTTTAAGTGCCGTGCTAGGCTTTGGGACCACAATTATGGTTCCTGCCAACAAGAATGGCTGTCTTGGAAGTCTGTACACAGAACTAAATACGTGGTGGAAAAAAGAGAAGGTCCATTAATGTGCAATATAAATGTTCATGTGGCCTGCAACTTTCTGGGGCAATCCTTTCCCTAGTAATTAAGCAGTTTCAAGTGCCTGTCTAATTGCAGGAATTCAAATGGCTCACTGCTGTCACCAGAATGTCTGATAATTCCTGGACAGAGAAGTGATGCAAATGTGTGCTTACGTATGGAGTTGATGGCATCTCCTGCACCAGCCTCCTGCCCTGGGCAGACTGTTGTGGTCATTTGGGGGCAGCTCCCCAGCACAGCAGATTTCTTGCTGGCCATCACTTTTCAAACTCTGGACTTCTGCCCTTTGGCTGGGAACTGCTCACTTCCCTTAGAACTTTCCCCTCCCGTCTCCTGACTTCTCTAAATGCCAGAGTTCCAACCTCTGTCTCCTGGGAAATTCTAAGCTAAAATCACTCTTCCTTTATATCTGCAGATAGTTTGAAATTTATACATTAAAAAAAGTAACTTTAAAAATATATAACTGGTCTCATTACACTCTGGAGCAACAATTCCAAATGATGGTAGGAAAACCCCAAAATTGGCCATCGAAAGGCATAGATACAGCCCTTCCTGTTTAAAAGAGGTATTTTTGAAAAACTTCAAATGTCTTCTGGGAAAGGCACAATCTTTCACGGTTTCTTCTCTTCCCCCTCTCCCTCCCCCTTTTGGGAATGACATCCTGGGGCAGAGGATGAACTTACAGAGCGTGCTGGCTGTGGGAAGCTGGGTCTAGGTGGCATTTTTTCTCTTTTCTGATGGTTCTCTGCCCCCAGTTCCTTGGCCTGTCCCCATTGCTCGCCAACATTTCCGTGGCTGGTCTAATCTGCGATCGATTATCCCTGACGAAGGCAGTGGGGCTCAGCCACCTTGCCTGCTGGTGGCCCCAGCGTGGCTCTGCTACTACTCACATCCTTCCAGTTTGGCGAGGCTGCAGCCTGATCCTGGGCCCGTGTGTTCTGGGCTGTGGCCCCTGGCTCCAGGCCAGTTCAAGCCTCTCCATGACCATCCTGAACACCAATTTACTGCACGTCAACTCACTAAAATCAACCCATCAACTAATCAGAAATTAATACATCAAATCATCAATTCTCCAATTTTATCAATTTGCCAAAAACTTGACTTTAAAGTTTTGTCCTTTTATATTGAATTTAATGGTTTTTACAACTTTTGAAGACTTCTGAAAATGTTGGTTAATTTGCCTTTCCTTTTGTTTTCATAGTAGCTTATAAGTAATATTCGATTTGTCAGATGTTGGTGATACAGGGAGAAGATGACAATGGTGACAGAGTGTTTTTCATCTTCCCAAGTGTCCTCACAAAAACAGAGAGTGCAACTGGGATAGCAAAGGAAAATATCCACAGGCAGTGTCTCTTTATCAGACCAGGGATATCCCTAGAAGATCCCGTGAGACTCTAGAATGTGTGTGGGTAGATCCAAGCTGTAGATCCAAGGTAGATCCTGTGGGCTCTAGTGCCATGTGGAGGTAGCAGAGGGTTGAGAGGAGAGGGTTCTGGTGTTTCTAAGATCTCGGGAACACAGAAGTGGCCAGTGAGTGCCCACCTCCCAAAAGAGGTGATCTCAGTCTAGAATGAATCCCCAGCAGAGAGCTCTAAGGACCTAGACTTTTGTAAATTTAGAAACTCCCTTTTCTCTTACCAATGTCTAATTTTTAAGACTATGACTTTGATATAGCTGTCAATATTCTGTTTTGGAATATTGTTTGCTTTTGGTCTTCTGTGATAAAAATCCAAATTTTCCCCTGGGTGAATAGGCATAAGGTCACATCTAAAGAAGTGCAAAAGGAAAACATTAAGACCTCTAGTAAATTAATGTTTTTATAATAACATATATCTCCATATGCTTCACAGAAACATGTAACTTCTGTCTATACAAGCTTTGGGTATTTCATTTATAATGAAATGGCGCATTAACGTGTTTTTCTAAATCAAAAGTCAATTTCCTCCTTGAGATTAATTACATCTCCAGAATATGAAAGCAGCTTCTGACACTATGTATTTGAAATAGCAATTTCCCATGTTTGCTATAACAACAATAAATAAATTGTTGTGTAATACACAAAAGGGAATTCTTAATTCTGCCCTAGGTAGGAGAAGCTAGAGAGAAGATGACATTTGAACTGTGCCTTGGAGGATAAATACAAGTCTACTGATGCGGAGAAGAGGATGAGAGCCTTGCAAGGAGAGAAGATGGCCTGGGCAAAGGCACAGAGGCCTCAAAGTATATGGTGGGCAGGGGACTGCTGCATGGCCAAGTAAATGAGGAGCCGGAGGAGACGAGGCTTAGGAAACAGGCTGGTGTCAAATTGTGAAAGCCGCAGATGTCCTGCTAAGTAATAGGGTTGTGCCTTATCTATGATTAATGGCAAGCAGGCACAGTTTTTGCCTTGGAGCCCGGTGAAAGCAGGATTGACTTGAATTGATAGAAAGAGAAAAGTGGCAGCAAACCATTTAATTGATTGACTGATCAATTAGTTAATTACCCGAGTCTCCTTGTGAAAGTTCCAAACCTTCTCACTCTCCTCTCACTCCACATTCAGTTCTACATAGCAGCAGGAATTCCTTGGCTCTTACTTCATCAAGAAAATTGGTCAGGCACACCCTTCATCAGCGACATTCTGACCATTTGGAGACCCTGGTTTCTCTTTCTTCTTCTTCCTGAAGTCTCAGAGGCTGGGGCTCTTCCTGCTCCAGGCTAACCCTGACCTCCAGTTATGCGCTCGAGACCTTCACTCCTGCCTCCACTGGGAGCTTGTCTCAGCTGTCCTCCCTTCTATCTCTCTGTTAACTCTAATCAGCCCCCTGCTGCCAGATCCTTCCCTTCAGTTTAGAATTTAGGCTCAAATCTTCCTTGTCCCTAATGCTCTTCTCATCTCCCTAGCTTCCACCCTCATCTCTCTTCTTTACTCTTCCCATGTTCCTTAAAGAAAATGTTACACTTCTGTGTTTCCTCTTTCTCCCCTCCCACTCATTCTCAGCCCCACTGCAGTCTGACTTCCTTGTCCATGACCTCAGTGGGACAGAAATTGATTGCCAAGGTCACCAAATCTTTAACTTTGTGGAGTTTTCTGCTGCTTTCATCACAGTAGATCATTCCACTTTCTTGAAATCTCTCCTTATTCAGATTTCAAGACATCACACTCCTCTGATTTTCCTGACACCATTCAGATCATTCATTCTGGGGCTTCTGCTCCTCTGGGAATCTCTAAATGCAGAGTGCCTCTAGGGATCTGTCCCCAGCTAACAATGTCTCCTTGATCAAACATTCATTTGTATAGCTTCAATTCTTAGTCATCTAATTATACCTAACATAGCAAAGAACAATCCTTGGCATCTACTAGGTGCTTAGTAGCTGTCACATCTTTTCTTCTTCTCAGACCTTTTGAATACAGCAACCTGGTCTTCTATTAATGGAGAGCAAAATCTAACCATTCCACCTCCTCTCTCCTCAGGGCCACAATTTTATTCTTCTAGATATCTCTTCTTTCTCTACATTAATCCACTTCTTTTTCCATTTCTGTACACTCACTTTCCTTCTTTGGCTCTCTTCATCTGATCAAAATGAAAAATTAAAAGATATTTCAATGTTTTTGTGTAATAGCTAATCTATTATAAAATATTTATATTCTTAGACGTGCAGCTTTATTATGCAATCACAAATGTTTTACACGTTTGACTTTTCTCAAAACCAAAAATCAGTTTTTAAAATTGCTTTTTACCTATATGTGGTTCTTGCTTTATGAAAACAAGCAACTAGAAAAAACTGGTCTACTTCCACTCAAACAGTGTCTCCAACTATGTGGCTTGCCCGGCTACCAGACCCTTCTTGAGAAATATTCTGCCAGACACAAATGAACACTCTTAGTTCACACTGCCCATTGGCCCACGAGGGCATGGAGAGTGTTCTCTATGGAGAAGTAGGTGCTTACAGCAGAAATAGCCTTCCATGAGGTTGCGTCGGTTCTGCTTTCACTTTCCCGTCTCATGCAAAGTGGCCCAGAAAACAGCAGCCCCTCCCCGGAACTATTTCCTTCCTTTCTCAGAGAGCTGCATCTCCTGCTCTCTGGAAAGTTTCATGAGGAAATGGATTGCCTCTGTTCTTGGTGAAAATTAACTCCATTACTAAGTTCTTAATCTTTTTTGTTTATATAGCTCTCATTCCAAAAGACAACCTCCCTGACGGGGCTAGAAAGTCATATGTTTGTAAATAATCAGAGACAGACCAAGGAAAAGGACAGAGCTGGCCACTGAGCCCAGAGGGCTCTGTTATCAATCCCATGGCAATTCACTGCTAGTCTTCTGCAAAAGACACATGACCCAGAGGAGACCCTCAGACACGAGGAAAGAGGAACTCTGTAGGGGACTTAGAGGCAATCTCTTTAATTGGAGGGGCTAAATAGCTTTCCTCTCATGGTTTGCAGCTCAGTGTAAGGCCAGGCAAGCTCCCAGGAGGCCATCCAGGCTGTGAGGTCCCTAGAGAATCTCAGAGACCACACCAAAGGGTCACTCCTGTCTTAGCAACTGAGTAGGAAGCATTGTTGCCACCAAACTGTACAAATCTGAGAAACTTAGTCAAGGAGGGAAGGGAGGACTTTGGGGCTTAGAGTTAAGCAGACTACTGCCCAGACAGGCGATGGCAAGGACAGGCAGAGTCCAAAGTGTCCTTTGAGACAGAAGCAGCATCAATGGTGTGGTGATAATCCAAGGACATGATAGAACTTCAGGGGATAAACACACACGGATTCTAGAGAAAAACTGTATACACGGCCAGCGTGGATTAGTCTCAAAGCCAAGGGGAGGTTTGATGGGACTGAGATGTCTTCATGAGGCCAACCCGGAGTGGGACTGCCCTCATTTCCAGAGGATTTAGTAAGTAGGTTTGGGCAGAGAGTCAGGCTGGGACCAGCTATAAAGGCTTTGCCAATCTGACTTGACTTAGTGCCATAGGAAAGTGAAGGCAGGAAACTGATGCTAATTGATTCTGGGCCTCTTGTTTTCTGCCTCAAAATAGAGAGCTCTGGGATTGAGGAGGGAATCATACTAGCACCATAAATGGTTTGAAAGGTGTAAAGGGGAAAATGTGAAAACATTTTTTATATGTCATGTCAAAGTCCAGTCTGTCTGGAGCACAGCGTGTTTGTAAGGACACAGAGGGAGGTCAGGCTGAGGAAAGACTGTAGACAACTGCAATGCCAGGCTCAGGATGTGGGACTTTGCAGGCAGTGGAGAGACAGTGATGGTTTTTGAGGAGGAAGTGAGATGATCATGGTTGTGTTCTAGGATTATTAACCTGGCACTAGTGTAGCAAATAAATTCGATCTGAGGGTGGCAGGAAGGTTAAAGAAAAAATAAGAACAGCCTTAGCCAACTGCTTTGGAGAACAACAGGGTAAGCTCAGAAATGCCCAATTCGATACAATAATTATCACAAAAGGAGTTGCATTTGTAACGTACGTATTACTTTTTAATGTGCCTTTTCATCTGTCACATCATCTGGTGCCTCTGGTGTGACCTTCCAAGTCCATCCTCCTTCCTGACCCTATCCATCCAGGCTCAGCCCCTGGGAGTGTGCCCACTGCTCCTACAGTGCCTTCCACCACTGGTCCTGAGTTTTGGAGAAGACATAGGGAGATGACAAAACTTTAGAAACAACGGAAACAATTTAGGGAATGGGGTGGTCACTATGAGAGGAATAAAAGATGTCCACTGTAGACAGCATATATGGTGCAAGTCTATAATCTTGGAAAAAGTCAGACTACATTAATCTTGTTCACCAAATCCTGAAATACACAACAGGGAGAGTCTTTTAAACTTTGAAGATGGTAAGTTTAACATAAGTAGAAAAGCAGACTCTCTCATACCAAGGCTAACAAACCTATGGGAACCTGTTAGTCCCAAAAGTGAAATGTGTAAATTCTCAAAACATGTACATATATATATATAATCTACTCACACACACACAAGGGTGACAGAAACTTGAAGGACTGCTAAGAGAGCTCAAGGATATTTATGGCCTATTTAAACTTATGAAGCTTCTGTGGAGGAAATCTGTCCTTCTACACTTTGTCCCTGATGAAAGAGAGAAACCCTATGCTTACAGCAATATCCACCAGGAGTGATTTTGCCTCACAGGGGATATTTGCCAATGTCTGTAAACATTTTTGTTCTCACACTAGGAGAGGGGAGCACTATTGATATCTGGTGGGTGTAGCCCAGGGATGTTGGATGTTGCTAAACATCTTGGAATGCGTAGGACAGCCCCCAGCACAAAGAATTATTCAGCCCTAAATGGCAATGGTGCCAGGTTGAGAAACCCTGGCTTAGGGTCATGCTCCTGCCCTAAAGTGCAGTTACTATTGTTTGCAAGTTTAATTATTCCAGGAGCTATACCTCTGTTAAGGACTGAATTTTATCCCTCCCCACAACTCGAAATTCCTATGTTGAAACCTTAACACCTAATGTGAATGCTTTGGAGACAGGGCCTTTAAATAGGTAATTAAGGTGAAATGAGGTTATCCAGGTGGGGCCCTAAGGCCCCTTATAAGGACTGGTGTCCTTATAAGAAGAGGAAGAGACACCAGGAGAGCAAATGCACAGAGGCCCTGTGAGGACACAGTGAGAAGGCAGTCATCTCCAGGCCAGCAAGAGAGGCCTCAGAATGGAACCTACCTTGCTGGCAACTTGATCTTGGACTTCCAGACTCTGAGAAAATAAGTTTAAGTTTAAGCCACCCAGCCTGTGGTATCTTGTTATGGTGGCCCTGGCTAACTAATCACCCTTTCTCACTTACCTTTAGCTCTTCCTTACTCAATAAGTTTCCACTGAAAACTAGATGCTGGTGTGGTCCCCCTGCCCGATGTGCACACGTGGCCCACTGCAGATGGACCTACACAAGTGGCGCTGGAACCCTGAGGGGCTGAGGGGACCCCGCGTCCAGGCCACCCAGGTGCGGGGTGAGGGGGCACCCCAACTTCCCTGGATCACATGGGCTGCGGTGGCCGGTGGATCAGGGAGGAGAGGCGCGGGGAGCTTGCTGCAACTCTTCACCAGGGCAGGAGGGAAGATGCCCCCCACCTCCTCTAGTTCACCCTCTGGATTCAAGTTTGTCAGCCCCTGCCGCTGAGATCAGGGGATGGCACCAGATAGAATTTTAATTCAAAAGGAAGCAGAACTTAAAGATTAAGAAAATTCTTAGCCTATCCATATTGTGAAAACTAAGAAATCATGTTCAGGACAGAACACCAGTGGTGTGTCTATGTAACCATCGGATGAGGAAATTAGTATGGATCAACCATCTCAGTGGAATCTGGGTGCTATTCATCAAGGCAATGAAAGAATGACCCAAAGACATTTCAGATCAGGGCTGCCACTCCTATCCGAGGTGCGGAATACAAGGGCATGAGGGACAGAATGATTTCAAAGGAGGGGCTGCAGGTACTTGTGGGGCTTCAGCACTCACTATCATGGGCCACCTTGAGGCTCTGCTCTCCACATTCCATCACAGGGCTCCTAGGCTACCCCAGGTATGGCTCCAACAGATCCTGGTTTAGTGAGTGCTGTGCTCTGAAAAGCTGTGCGGGCATGGTAACCTCCACCTAGATTTCAAAGGATGCTCTGGAAAGCCACAGTGCGTAGGCAGAAAGCCACCATGTGCAGGGCCACCATGGAGAGACTGCACTGCGCAATGCCCAGTGAAGCAGTAGGGTAAGGCCACCCCTGAGGCCCTAGACCAATTGAACCACTGGTATACAATTTCAGCCTGGGAGAGCCTCGGGCACCCAGCTGCCTCAGAGGTAGGGCCACCAAAGGGAGCAACTATGAGGGCAGGGCTGCACAAAGCCATGAGGCAGAGGCCACCTCCCCAGTGTGCCTGGAGGGCAGAACCTTGATTCAAAAAGATTATTCTGGAAACTTGACTTGCTCAGGACCTGGTACACTTTTCTTCTCTCCCTTTTCTTCCTTTTGGAATAAGAATTTCTATCCTATGCCTGTCCCATCATTATATTTTGGAAGCAAATAGCATATTCGATTTCACAGCTGGAGAGCAATTTGCCTCACAATGAATCATACCTTGAGTCTCATCCATATCTGATTTATCCTCTTAACCCTTTTATGTGTATAGCTCAGTTGGGTAAATAATATTCACATTGTTGTGTGACAACTCTAGAACTTTTTTATATGCAAAATGAAACTTTATCCTCAGGGAACAACTCCCTATTTCCCGCTCTTCCCAGCTCCTGGAAACCCCCACTCTGTTTCTATTATTTTGACTTTAGATATCTCTTATAAGTGTAATCATACAGTATTTATCTTTTTGTGACTGGCTTATTCCACTTACCATAATGTTCATCCATGTTGTACCATGTAAGAGGATTTCTTCTTTTTTTAAGGCTGAATAATATTCCACTGCATATACATATATATATATATATATATATATATACACACCACATTTTCTTTATTCATTTATCTGTCAATAAACTTTTCGGTTGTTTACACCCATTGTCTATTGTAAATAATGCTGCAATGTACATGAAAGCAGAAATATCTTTATTAAATGCTGATTTTGTTTCCTTTGGGTATGTATCTAGACATGGAATTGCTGAATCATGTGATAATTTTATTTGTAAACTTTTTAGGAAATCTCATACTGTTTTCCATGGTGGCTGCACCATTTACATTCCTACCAACAGTGCACCAGGATTCCAGTTCTTGACATCCTCGCTAACACTTGTTATTTTTTTTGTTGGGTTGGTTTTGTAGTGGCCACCTTAATGGCTGTGAGATAATATCTATCTCATTGTGGTTTTGATTCATGTTTCTCGAATAATTAATGGTGTTACACATATTTTCATACACTTGTTGGCTATTTGTATATATTATTTGAAGAATTATCTGTTCAAGTCCTTTGCCCATTTTTAAACCAGGTTATTTGCTTTTTTAATTGACAAAGAAAAATCATATATACCTATCATGTACAACGTGATGTTTAAAATATGTATGCATTGTGGAATGGTTAAATTGACCTAATTAATATATGCATTATATACTTCTATGGTGAGAACACTTAAAACCTACTCTCTTAGCAATTTGCAAGAATACAATGCATTGTTATTAATTATATTCACCACATTGTACACTAGGCCTCTTGAACATATTCCTCCTATTTGGCTGAAATTTTGTAACCTGGGACAAACATCTTTCCAACCAGCAGCATTTTCAGCTCCTAATAACCACCATTCTATTCACTATTTTTATTAGTTCAACTTTTTTGGATTCACATATAAATGAGATTATGTGGTATTTGTCTTTCTGTGGCATATCCACTTAACATAATGTTCTTCAAGTTCATCCATTTTTGTTGTGAGTGACAGGATCTTACTCTTTTTTAAGGCTCAATAGTATGCCATTGTGTGTATATACCACATTTTCATTATCCATTTATCTGTTGATACACACTTAGGTTGTTTCCATATCTTAGCTATTGTGAACAATGTTGCAATGAACATGGAGCATAAGTATCTCTATGAAGTGCTGATTTCATTTCCTTTGGGTGTATGCTCAGAAATGAGATTGCTGGATCACATGGTAGTTCTATTTTTAATTTTTTAAGGAGCCTCCATACTGTTTTCCATAATGACTATATAATTTACATTCCCACCAACAGTGTACAAGAGTTCCCTTTTCTCCACACCCTTGCCAGCACTTGTTACCTGCCTTTGGCAATAGTCATTCTAACAGTTGTGAGATGGTATCTCACTGTGGTTTTAATTTTCATTTCTCTGATTAGCTATGTCGAGCATTTTTTTCATATGCCTGTTGGCCATTTGTATGTCAACTTTTGAGAAATGTCTTTTCAAATCCTTTGCTCATTTTAAAATCAGGCTGTTTTCTTGCTATTGAGTTGTTTGGATTCCTATACCCCTTATCAAGCATATGGTTTGCAAATGTTTTGTCCCATTCCATATGTTGTCTCTTCACTCTATTGATTGTTTCTTTGGCTGTAAGAAAAACAAGGTTTTTAGTTTTATATAATCCCATTTGTCTATTTTTGCTTTTGTTGCCTGTGCTTTTGGAATTATATCAAAAAATTATTGCCCAAACTAATGTCATGGAGCTTTTCTTCTATGTTTTCTTCTAGTAGTTTTACAGTTTCAGGTCTTATGTGTAAGCCTTTATTCTGAGTTGATTTTTGCATATGGTGTGAGATGACAGTCTAGTTTCATTCTTCTACATGTGGATATTCAGTTGTCCCAATACCATTTATTGAAGAGACTATGCTTTACCCATTGTTGGTTCTTGGCACCTTTGTTGAAAATCAATTGACCATGAATGTGTGGATTTGTTTCTGGACTATTTTGTCAATGCATCTGTTTTTATGTCAGTACCATGTTGTTTTGATTACTATGGCTTTGTAGTATATTAGTATATTTTGAAATCAGATAGTATGATGCCTCCAGTTTTGTTCTTTTTGCTCACAATTGCTTTGGCTATTCAAGGTCTTTTGTGGTTCCATATGAATTTAAGGATTTTTTTTTCTGTTTCTGTGAAAAATGTAAGGAAATTTTGATAGGGATTGCATCAAATCTGCAGATCACTTTGGGTAGTACAGACATTTTAACAATATTGATTCTTATAATCTATAAACACAGGATATCTTTCCATTTGTTTGTGACTTCTTCAATTTCCTTCATCAGTGTTTTATAGTTTTAAGCGTATAGGTCTTTCACCTCCTTTGTTAAATGTATTATTTCACTTATTTACTTATTTTTAGCTATTGTAAATGAGATTGTTTTATTGGTTTCATTTTCAGATAGTTCTTTGTTAGTGTGATGCTACTGATTTTTGTATGTTGATTTTTGTATCCTGCAACTTTACAAGATTCCTTTATTTTTTTTTCAGTACAATCTGTATTCTGTTGCAACTAGATTTCTTTATTACTTCATAGTTTTTAAGTGGAGTTATTATGGTTTTCTATTTATATAATCATGTCATCTACAAACAGTGACAATTTACATTTTTCCTTTCCAATTTGGATGATTTTTATTTCTTACTCTTGCCTAATTGCTGGCTAGAACTTCAGTACTATGTTGAATAGAAATGGTTAGAGTGGACCTCCTTGTCTTGTTCCTGGTCTTAGAGGAAAAAAATTTCAACTTTTCACCATTGAGAATGATATTAGCTATGAGTTTGTCATATATGACCTTCATTGTGTTGAGGTGCATTCCTTATTAGTTGAGAGTTTTTTTTTTAAATCACGAAAGGATGTTGAATTTTGTCAAATGCTTTTTCAGAGTCTATTGAGATATTAATATGGTTAGTATTCTTCATTCTGTTAAAGTGGTATGTCACATTTTTAGATTTGAGTATGTTGAAACATCTTGCATCCTTGGAATAAAACCCACATGATCATGATAAAAGACCCTTTTAATGTGCTGTTGCATTCATTTTGCTAGTATTTTGCTGAGGATGTTTACAGGCTATTTGTCATTGTTGCTGCTGTTGAGTTGTAGAAGCTCCTTATATATTCTGGATATTAACTTCTTACTGAAAAGATAATTTGCAAATATCTTATTTCATATTGTTTTTCACTCTGTTGATTGTTTTCATTGATGTGCAGAAATGTTTAAGTTTGATGAAGTTGGATTTGTGTATTTTTTGTTGCCTGTTTTTGGTCATATCCAATAAATTGTTGCAAAATTTAATGTCATAAAGTTTTCTTCTATGTTTGATAGAACTTCTAGGAGTTTGATACTTTTAGCTCTTACATTTAGGTCTTTTATCCATTTTGAGTTAATTTTTGTATTTGCATATGGTGTCAGGTAAGAATCCAACTTCATTATTTTCCATGTGGATATCCAGTTTTCCCAACGCAATTTGTCGAAGAGATTGACCTTTCCCCATTGTATACTCTTGGCACCCTGGTGGAAGATCATTTGACCATATACTTGAGGGTTTACTTCTGGAATAGACAGTTGACATTGGGGTACTCAGAAAACAGCAAGAATCTAAGAGTGTTTGAGGGTCTATTCTTAGAAAAAAACCTTTTTCATACCTCATAATCTCTGCTTTTGTGAATCCTTTCTATCTTTGAAAACAAAATCCATACTTATTCATTCATTTATCATTCATTCATTTACTCACTTACTTAACTCGATTTTATTGAGCACTTAGTGGCAGGATTCAGAGTAAAGACCCCCCTGTAGGACTTAGGTCCTTCAGTTATCCTCAGTTTTTAATGATTCATGTTTCATCTTAGCTCCTGTAACTCTTCCATATGGTCGTTCATTTACTGTACCCATAGTGTCCCGTATTTGCATGGGACTCAAATATATATGTCTTGAATCTAGACAAGGGATATTGTGTTTTAAGAAGTTATAACAATGAACAAATTCCATTCGCCCAGAGCAACTTTCTAATGGAATATATATATATATATATATATATATATATATTTTTTTTTTTTTTTTTTTTTTTTTTTTTGAGACAGAGTCTCGCTCTGTCGCCCAGGCTGGAGTGCAGTGGCCCGATCTCGGCACACTGCAAGCTCCGCCTCCTGGGTTCACGCCATTTTCCTGCCTCAGCCTCTCGAGTAGCTGGGACTATAGGCGCCCGCCACCGCGCCCGGCTAATTTTTTGTATTTTTAGTAGAGACGGGGTTTCACCGTGGTCTCGATCTCCTGACCTCGTGATCCGCCTGCCTCGGCCTCCGAAAGTGCTGGGATTACAGGCGTGAGCCACCACGCCCAGCTCTAATGGATAAATTTAAGACACAACTATAAGATGGGAGTGGCTGAAAAAGCAGGGACTTCCTAATGCCCTGAAATCATGTGATAACTTTTTATCTTCTCTAAGACTGTCTGGCATGGTTTTCTCTTCTATTATTTTTGACAAATGTGGTACCTCTAGGCGTGAGTTTTTCTTTCACTTCTCATTTCTCCAACCACAAATGCTGTCACAGGCCAACAGGGAGAATTCAGTGATACATCATACTCATCCCTGAGCTGTGATGTTGGCTCTCCACCTCTATCAGCCATCAGATTTTCATATTATCTTGTCTCTCTCTTCCTCTTTCCTTACACCAAACATTGATTCATCAAGGAGTCTTATCACTTTACTATACTTCCATTTCAACTCACACTCAAATTCATCACTGATAATGTCTACTTTATAAAATATTCCTTCAAAGCAGCCATTGGCCTAATCCCCAGATGATGCCATTGATCCATGACAATAGGGAGAATAATGTCTCCATCATTACTTTCTTCTCATAGTCTTTTAATTCCTTATACAGAGGCTAGTTTCAACTGCAAAAGTAACATGGGGTCCTTTGTCTATCAAACACTCCCCTTGTAACATTCATATCTGCTCTGGGACAGAAATCTGTCCTCTGGACACCAGAGTAGGAGGTTTAAGAAAGGCCAAACGTTGATACAATCCAACTGATGTAGAGTGATAAGGAAGGCAGTCAGGCAGCATGAGGAAGTGGGAGGATGGGAGTTACAGAGAATTTCTGATGTAGACAATGAGCTTCTTTTCTTTTTCTTAAGGGATTTCCACAATCCTCCACTTTGTGGTATTGGGGACAGTGGTAATGACAGGGTGGGAAGGGCAGAAGAGGCTTATTTCAAGAGGAAGCAGTAAAAGGTGGGCCTGTGAGGACCTGTTTAGCAGGCTTTAACATCCTATGTACAAGTCCTTATCTTTTGAAGTGCTCTCCTGATCCAGGCCCTGCTTATCATTATTCACAAATTTCAGTGTCTGAAATAATCCAGAAGGTGGACAATCAGACATCCACAGATTAATTGATGATTTATACTTATTCTCCCTCTCTCCCCACTCTCTCTCCCTTTCTCTTCTCTCTCTCCCCCTCTCCCTCCCCTCCCTCCCTCCCCCTCTCTCCTTCTCCATCTCTCCCTCTCCATCTCTCCCTCTTCATCTCTTCCTCCCCTTCCCTCCCCTCCCCTCTCCCTCTTCATCTCTTCCTCCCCTTCCCTCCCCTCCCCTCTCCTTTCTGTCTCTCTCAGCTCCAAAAAAGAATGATACAGAGATGCATAACACTCCTCTCTCTCCCATCTGAAAATTTAGGGATGGGGTGGGGTCCTAAGAAGCTAGCCTTAGAATCTCTTCCTCTTACTGTGGTTTCCTTAACCCTCCATCATCTCATAACTAATGATAAGTCTGAAAATGAGCTTCCGTATTAATTCTCATTATTCTGACAACAGACTCTAGAATCCAGCCATATTCTACTGTTTGGAGCCAGCCAGGGACTTTCCAAGTATTCACAGTGAAACACTGGCTTCCATGCCTGGGTCTCCCCACCCACTGCCTCTGCACTTGGTGCCTTTGAACCTCTCTTGTTCCTCTTGCCCTTGCTACTTCTGTATAGATCACAAGCTCCCTCCACACAGCTTCAGTTACACACATCCGTGCAGCAGGACCTTCTCAGGGGCTTAGTCTGCCAGAAACTAGTGACACTGCCTTTCACCCACTTTTTATTGGATAGAGAGAAATGTTACCAGAATTTCCCAGGAAAAGAGCTTCTTTGAAGTCTCTACATGCATTCAGATAAATCCTTTCCCTGATATTTTCCCTCCATCCCCCCTCCTCACAGCCCTGTTCAGAAGCCTGAACATGTCATGATGGCTGGGGCCTCAAATCCAGGGGACAATCTGAGGTGAAGGTGAGCAAGGAGACAGTCTACAAAGAGGCCGTGGAAGCTGTCGGGGAAGGAGAATGTTCAAGTAGCACAGGCAATCAAACACTTCCCATTGCTCCAGGTGCCAAAGCAGGAATGAAAACCTGTCCCCTCTGTTGAATACTCTTCTTCTTCACTCCTAAAACTACACACCTGATGTTAGTCGTCAGCCCTCTTCTTATCACTCTACACCTGCTGCTCTGGAGAACTCATCCAGGCCTGTGGCTCCCTGCACGTCTACACTAGTAACCTCTGAATCCACGGTCTCTAGCACACCCTCCTGCTCCCATCCCCAGGTGGCAGTCAGGTGCCTGCACTTGGCTATCTCAACATCAACATCACCCCAACACCTGTTTTTTCATGCATTCAAGGGAGATTTTTTTCTCCCCAAGTTTCTTTCACCTTCCCTTTGGGGTTCCTGGAATAAATAATACAAAACTTGAGGTTCTCTTGTGATGCTGTTTGGAGTCGAGAGAGAGACAGAGAGAGAGAGATACCCCCAGGAGGGAGCTGTCCCAATTCTTTTCCATCACTCGGGAGCTAGCCCTACATCTAGTCTTACTGTTTGGAGCCTTATAAAAAGATCTCATGAGCAGCCCCCTGGGAATAGCATGTCTTTGTTCTCTGAGAGGCAGTGATTTTTATCTGGACCCCACATAACTTTTCCCCAGAGAGCATCACAGTAAAAGCACATGTTTATCTTCTCTCCTTAACTTCTGACATCCTTAAATCCCAAGGAAGGGTATGGAGGGAGACAGATTGATGATTCTGTGTATTTGGGTAAACCAGGTTCCTGGCTAAAATCACTTAGTCAAAAATGCCAAGCATGGTCAAGGGAGAAGGGTTAGAGAGTCTAAAAGAATGAAATTTGGAGACAGGTAAACTTGAAATTTATTCTTTCCTTCACCTATTATTGTGTATGTGATTTGGGGTCATATTCTTAACTATAACTACCTATTGCCTCATCTTAGAATAAGGATAAATAATATCTATGTTGAAACACTGCTGTGAGCATTAGTGCTCAATAACTATTACTACTGTACTAATGCAGGTTCTTGATTTTAAACAATAGAATGCAAACTTGAATAATTAAGCAGAAAAGGCATTTATTGGAAAGGAACTAAATAGCTCATAGAGGATATGACAAAGGCAGGAGTTCTTCATAGTTGATATTGTATCTCCGTGCATTGAATCAGGAGACATATGATGTTGATTTGTTCTGTTATCAGTGATGCTAATTTTGACTACTTGATTTTAGTGGTAACTGACAGATTTTTTCAACCATAAAGTTACTATTTTCATTGCTTGATTTTCGTATATTAAACTTACCCTGTGATGCTAATTTTGACTACTTGATTTTAGTGGTAACTGACAGATTTTTCAACCATAAGTTACTATTTTCATTGCTTGATTTTCATATATTAAACTTACCCTATGTTCATAGAATAAACTCAACTTGGTCATTATTTTACCTAGTGTTATATTTAATTGACTAATAGATCTTTTAGGAGTTTTGTATCTGTGTTTAAAAATGAGATGAGCCTTACTTTTGCTTTTTTGTTTTTGTTTTTGCTTCATGCTTATGAGGATTTGGCATATTGCTGCATGAGTTGAGAAATGTTCCTTTATTCCCCCGTCTTTTGGAATCGCTTGTGTAAGGTTAGCAAATGCCTTCACTGAATATTTAGAAGAATTCACCCAATAAGATCATCTTTGCCTACAGATTTCTTTGTGGAAAGTTTTGTAATTACCAACTCAATTTCTTTAATAGATACAGGATTATGAAAATTTTTCTATTATTTCTTGAGTTCATTTTAGTAAGTGGTGTTTTCTAGAATATGTCTATTTCATCTAGCTTTTCAAATTTGTCAGCATAAAGTTATTTATAATATTTTCTATTGTAATTTTAATGTCTACAGGACCCATAATGACAGTACCTTTTTCATTCCTGATATTGGAATTTCATGCCTTCTGTCTTGTTTTAAAATCTTCCACAGTCTTGCTAAAATTTTATCAATCCTATTAGTCTTTTCAAAGAAACAAGCCTTTAGTGTTGTTGATGTTTTTCTACTGTATTATTATTTCCTATCAAATTATTTTCTTCTTTTATGTATATAATTCCCTTACTTTTACTTTTCTTGGGTTAAATTTGACATTCTTTTTCTAAGTATATGATTTTCAGTATTTCTTTCTTTCCAATTAATTATATGCACTTAAGGTTGCATATAATTTTTGTCTAGACCTGACTTCAGCTTCATCTTATGTTATAATATTTTGTAATGCAAGTATAATTTGCAATATTTTCAATTTTCTTTCTTCCTTCCTTCTTTTCTTTTTCTTTCCTTTCCTTTTCTTTTCTTTCAAGACAGGGTCTCACTCTGTTGCCCTGGCTGGAGTGCAGTGGTGCTGTCATATCTCACTGCAGCCTTGGACTCCTGGGCTCAAGTGATCCTCCCACCTCAGCCTCCTAAGAAGCTAGGACCTCAGGCATGCAGCACCACACCAGCTAACTTATATTTTATTTTTCGTAGAGATAGGATCTCATCATGTGGTCCAGGCTGGTTTTGAACTTCCTAGGCTCAAGCAATCCTCTTGCCTTGGCCTCCCAAAGTACTGGGATTACAGGCATGAGCCACCACACCCAACTGATATTTTCAATTTTTTATTGTCAGGGATCTGATAATAATTAGATTTAATCTCTGATTATCTTCTTTGATCTATGGATTATTTTAATTTGTATTTCTTAATTTCTAAACTCTTCAAAATTTTTTGGTTATCTTTCTGTAATTGATCTCTAGCTCTGTTCTATTTTTGTCAAAGAACATTATAAAAGATAAAATACTTTGAAATATTGTATTCTTTTTCATTGTTTTAGTAGTTATGTTTTTCGAGAAATTTGTCTTTTTTTTTTTTGACAGGTTGCTATGTTGCCCAGGCTACAGTGCACGATAACCCCATACTCCTGGGTTCAGGCAATCCTCCTGCCTCAACTTCCCTAGTAGCTGGTACTACAGATGTGTGCCACCCTGCCCAGCACAAAATGTGTCCATTTTATCTAGATTATCTAATTGTTGGCACGCAATTGTACACAGTATTCCCTTATATTGTTTTTCATTTCTGTAAAGTGGTAGAAAGGTCTCATCTTTTATTCCTGATTTGAGTAATTCAATTCCTTTCTTTTTTTTCTTACTCAATCTAGCTAAAGTTTCCTCAGTTTTGATTCTTTAAAAGCAAAAACTTAGTTTTGTTGATTTTCTCTATCTTTTTCTATTTCCTAGTTCATTTATTCCCATTCTAACATTCCTTTCACTAGTTCTGGTTTGTCTTACTCATTTCTAATTTCTTTTCTTTTCTTTTCTTTTTTTGTTTGTTTATTTGTTTGTTTGAGACAGGGTTATTTTTTTGAGATGGAGTCTTGCTCTGTCACCCAGGCTAGAGTGCAGGGGCCTGATCTCCACACACTGCAACCTCCCCATCCCGGGTTCAAACGATTCTCCTGTCTCAGCCTCCCGAGTGGCTGGGGTTATAGGTGCCTGCCACCACGCCAGGCTAATTTTTGTATGTTTAGTAGAGATGGGGTTACATCATGTTGGCCAGGCTGATCTCAAACTCCTGACTTCAAGCAATCCACCCTCCTTGGCCTCCCAGAGTGCTGGGATTACAGAGTGAGCCACCGCACCCGGCCTCTTTTCTAATTTCTTAAAGTGGAAGGTTGTTACTGATTTGCAATTTTTCTTCTTTTTTAATGTAGGTATTTACAGCTATAACTTTCTCTTTTATCATTAAAATGTCCTTACTTTTCTCTAGTGGTATGTTTGTATTAAGGTCTATTTTGTCTGGCATTAGTGTAGCCACTCCAGCTTTCTTTTGGTTGCTCTTTACATGGTGTATCTTTTCCTGCCTTGTACTTTCAACCTCTTTGTAACTTTGTATCTAAGGTTTGTCTCCAGCAGAGAATATATAGTTGCATCATTTTTATTTTATCCATTCTGCTAACCTGTCTAAATTGAAATGTAATGTATTTATATTTAGTGTGATTACTGTAACATATTTTTATGTCTGCCATTTCATTGTTTATTTTCTATTTTTCTTATATCTTTTTTGTTCCTCTATTCCTCTATTACTGCTTTTTGTTGTGTTAAATAGACATTTTCTATGTATCATTTTAATTCACTTATCATTTCTTTTACTCTACATTTTTAGTTCCTCTACTTTTTTGTCTTAGTGACTACCCTACAGATTAAAATTAGCATATTAATAATCTAGTTTGTATTAATACCAACTTAATTTCAATAGTATACAAACACTTTATTTCTATACAGCTCTGTTCCCTACCCCCGTGCTGTTATTGTCATACAAATTATACCATTCTTACATGTGTGCCTATCAACACAGATTTATAAATATTGTTTGCTGAAGTTTTAAATTAAATAGGAGAAAAAGTCATTAAAAAGTACATTTATATTGTCTTTTATATTCACCTATTTCAGTTACCTTTTTGGTGTCTTTATTTCCTTACATGGATTTGACTATATTACACTATATTCTAGTGTCCTTTCACTTCAGCCTGAAAGTATTTTAGTACAGCTGTCTTGCTAATGATGAAATCTCTGTTTCTTTTTACCTGAAAATGTCTTAATTTCTCCTTCATTTAGAGTTTTTGGCTGACAGCTTTTCCCCTCAGCACTTTGAATAAGTCTTTCAATTGCATTCTAGCCTCCATGGTTCTCTTTCTTTCTCTTCCTTTCTTTCTTTCTCTCTCTCTCTCTTTCTTTTTATCTTCCTCTGTCTCTCTTTTTTATGTTTTTACTTTTTTCTTTTAAATAGGGATGGAGTGTTGAACTCCTACACTCAAGCAATCCTCCCACCTCAGCCTCCCAAAGTGCTAGGATTAAAGGCATGAGTCACCGCACCTGACCCTCCATGGCTTCTAATGAAAGATCATCTGTCAATCTTCTTGCTTGAATGTGATAAGTCATTTCTCTCTTAATGGTTTCAAGATATCTTTGTCTTCAACTTTCAACAGATTGATTACAATGTGTGTAGGTGTGGATCTCTTTGAGTTTATTCTACTTATAGTTCATTAAGATTCTCAGATATGTAGATTAACATTTTTTATCAAATTTGCAAAGTTTTCAGCCATTATTTCTTCAAATATTTTTTCTGGCACCCTTTTTTTCATTTTAGGACTACAGTTATACATATTTTGGTCTGCTTGATGGTGTTCTACAGGTCTCTGAGGATCTGTTCATTTTTCTTTTCCCATTTTTCTTCTTCTTCCTCAAACTGGATAATCAAAATTAACCTACATTTAACTTTGTTGATTATTTCTTCTGCCTTGCTCAAATCTGCTGTCAAGCCAGTCTGGTGAAATTTTCATTTCTGTTATTGTATTTTTCAACTCCAGAATTTCTATTTGGTTCTTTTCTTATATAATTCCTGTTGCTGTAGTCTCTATTGGGTGGTGAGACATCATTCATATGCTTGCCTTTAGTAAACATGATTTCCTTCCATTCTTTGAATATATTTTAAATGCTTATTTAATGTCTTTGTCTAGTAAGTCTAAATGCTGGGCTTCCTTAGAGACATTTTTTATTTATTAATTTCCCCCCTATGTACAGGCCATGCTTTATTATTTCTTTGCATGTCTTGTAATTTTTGTTGAAAACTAGATATTTTGTGTAATATAATGTGGCAACCCAGATAATGAGATTCTTCCCTCGCTTTCCCTTCTAGGGTTTGCTTTCATTGTTTGTTGTTGTTTTATTTTGTGACTTTTCTGAACAAATCTTGCAAAGTCTGATTCTTTGTTATGTGTAGCTATTACATTTTTTCTCAGTTAGCTTAGTGGTCACCTAATGTTTGAACAAAGGTTTCCTAAAATGCCTGGAATAAACATATCTCCTAGTCTTTCCTGGGGAGCTTTTTCTTTGTTTTGTGTTCCTATAAGAGAATACCTGAGATGAAGTAATTTATAAAGAAAAGAGGTTTATTTTACTCATGGTTCTGCAGGCTGGAAAGTTCAATATTAGACAGCTGATTTGGTGGCTTCTGCTGAGGTCCTTGTGCTGTGTCAAAACATGGCAGAGAAACAAAAGGAGAACGAGGTATATGTGAACAGGACAAAACAAGAGAGGCAAACTCACTTTATAACAACCCACTCTCAAGGGAACTTCATAACTAACCCAGTCTTTCAAGAAAGACACCAATCCAACTTAATGACCTAAGCACCTCTTAAAGGCACCATCTCCCAACACCACCAGATTGGGAACCAAGCCTCAAAATAAGTTTTGATGAGGACAAGCCATATTCAAACCACAGCAGGTTCTGTGTGCATGTTGGTGATACCTTCAACACTCAGCCAGACAGTTGACAACTCCACTTTACCCTTTATTTCCTCCTTGTACAGAGCACCAAGGCCAGTCCAAGAAGAAAGCTTACAATCTTCTCAGGTCTTTCCTAAGTATGCACCCCATCCTACATATGTACATGGCCTTCTAGATTTCCAGGAATATGATGGAAATAATCAAAGCCCCTTGGACATCTCATTTCCCAGATTTTCCCTTTAAGCTTTTTATTTAATCTCTTGTTTTCCTCAACTGTTATCCACTGCCTCAGGCAATTCGGTTGCCTTTAATTGTTTCCAATAAATATTTTCATGGAAAAGGATTTTTGCACCGGGCAAGTTCCCAATCAGGTCAAATGAGAACTACTTTGCAAATTGGGTATTCCAGGAAACCACCAGACAGGTAAAATAATGACAATTCTCTGATCACAAGGTTTTGGAAAAGCCCCAGCTCTGTTCTGCTCCCTCCAGGCTGCTGATTTTCACCATGATTACAGCTTGTTGGTTCTCAAGTCTACTGCAGAACCCGAGAGGACAGAATGGGAATTGTACAAGTTAAAATGTCACAAAACTGTTCTTATTGAGATTGCACCATTTTTCTTTAGTAAATGTTCTCTGGATTGCTGCAAGACTTTGGTTAATTTCCAGAGTTCTGAAAGAGTTGATTTTTTTTTCAATTTTTGTCACTTTTCTTGTTGCTTTTATGGAGAGGAGAGTTTTTGGAGGTTCTTACTTTGTTATTTTTGCCAATATTGACCCATCTATAGGAGTTTTTAAAAATTTATATCATCATTTTTTAGTTCTAGAATTTCTATTAATTCTTTTCTATACATTCTATTTCTTTAATAAAATTTTTCATTATGATTTCTATTATCTTTTTACATATTCATTATAGCTATTATAAAGTTTATCTCTAATCCAATAATTAAGTTATTCATTATTTTTCTCAGTGATGCACTTTTCTTCCAGAAGGAATTAGCCCTATCCTCTGTTAGGCATATAGAGTAGAAAATGATCCTTATTTTAATCTGGAATGGATCTGACTTGAAGCAGAGTTTAAGCTTTTTCTGGCTGTCATTGTCTACTGTTTCACTGACATCCTGATCCCTTAAATTTGGCAGCCCCAGATACCATTCTTTGTCTCTCCATGGCCATAAGTTGTTTGCTAGAATTATCAGTCTGTTGCTCTGCCCTAAAAATAAGATAATCTTTAGGAGTAAAGCAACTGGAGAATGTTGGCTCCTCTCTTGTTATCTTCTTTTCATGATCTTGTCTTCTCAAGCTGTCATCACCTTGAGAGTTTTATGATTCCCTCAAGCGTATATTTTTTGTAGTTTTTTTTCCTTTGAGAGGGGGTCTTGCTCTGTCACCCAGGCTGGAGTGCGGTGGTGTGATCATAGCTCACTGCAGACTCAGCTTCCTGAGCTCCAGTATTCAAGCAATCCTCCTGCCTCAGATTCCCAAGTAGCTAGGACTATAGGCATGGGCCACCATGCCCAGTTGATTTTTTATTTTTATAGAGTCTGGGTCTTGCTATGTTGCCCAAGCTGGTCTTAAGACTCCTAGGCTCAAGTGATCCTCCTGCCTTGGCCTCCTGAAGTGCTGGGATTACAGGTATGAGCCACTGTGCCTGGCCTATTTTTTGTGTTTTATCTGGCTTTACTCATTATTATTGGAAGGAACATTAATATTGTACAAGCTATTCCATCATAGCCAAAAAGAGGAAGGCAATCTACGGTATTGTTTTTTATTGACAACTGGGGATAGAATTGGAAACTCAGGTCTTTCTACTAGTCTCTTCCTTCATAATCTCTTATTTCAGAAGTGGAAGTTGATATTGGACATCTTCCAGTAGCCAAGTGTATATATTGCATTAATATAGTATGGATCTGGGAGATAACCGAATGATGTGTTATGACTACCATAATCTACCACTTTGACCAGCAAACCATAGTCACTCCTTGTTGGGAGAATACAATGGATCAAACATACATTATGTCTGGGACTAGAAGAAAAATAATTTTATTCCTCTTCAGTTACTATACGGTAATCATTAATCTTAGATACTCCTAGAATTAATGACACTCATTAACCAGTTTATCATTGATGTCATTGTTGTCATAGTAAATTAGAAATGAGGGATTATCTTCATCAATGTCAGTATTTCAAGTAATACCAGCAAGAAATTAATAATAACCTGTATAGATGTGCTTGGGCAGATTCATTTGAGGCTGGGGAGAGAGAATAGCCAAGTACATCAAGTACATGATCTGGTAAAAGTAAGGCGTCCAGTATGGCTAAAGTGTAGTGTACAATAGCGTGACAGAGAGTAAATGACTAGAATAATGAGTTGATGCCTTTTATTTACTACTTCTCTGCCTCTCGCTGGGTAGAGAGGAGGTAAACAATATCAAATGTTGGCAAGTAACAATATCTTATTATGGCTTTACATTGAAGAATCAAGGCCTATAGTGATTAGTAAGCACATAAAACACAATATTGAGAGTTCTAAGATCATTAGTATAAGAATCAGTCATCCTTAGTTTAAACCTATCTATGTCCCTGATTAAGCCCGTGTAATAATTTAACTATGCATGGAGTGAATGTAAAGCCATAAATACATTTTCTACCTTGTGTATCCCCAACTTAACTTTCCCTTATTTGAATCTCTGAAATATCTATGGTCACTCTATTGCCGCCTAACAAGGGGCAAAATGTATGATGGATGAGAAGTCAGAATGAAGAAATACAACAGTCTTAACAATTTGCTGTTAAATTATCTTACTTTTTGCAGATTGTACAAAAATATATGATGTTAAAAGGCTCCTGCAAGAAGGGGTCCCGAATATTAAGTCTTTTTAGATTAAAGGTAAGTCAGCCTCTGTATAAGGACAATTTCATTCCTATACTTGCTCTTATTTTCTTTCCTTTTTCTCTGGATTTGGCTCTCTCCTATCTTCTTTTTCTTGTCACTCTATTTATTCATCTTTTTTTTGCCTATTTACCAACTGGTTGTAATTTAGAAATGAAAAATATGTATCTTAATATTTTGATGTATTCATTTACGTAATAATGTAAGTTCTGAAGATTTGGAATGTATAAGTGAAAATGTCATTATGCTTTGTTTCTGTAAAATAAAAACTAAACTACATGTTTGGGTTGGGGGCTTTGGTTTTTGTTTTTAGTTCTAAAATTTTTTGATACATTATATTTGAACATATTCATGGGTTATATGTGATATTTTGTTACATGCATGCAATGTAATGATGAAGTCAGGGTGTTTAGGGTATCTATCACCCACAATTTATCATTTTTATGCATTGAGTACATTTCAAGTCCTCTCTTCTAGTTTTTTTGAAAAATACTACACATTGTTGTTAACTATAGTCACCCTACTCTGCTATCAAACACTGGAATTTATTCTTTATATTAGTATAGGTTCATAACCATTAACCAACATCTCTGTATCTCCGTCCACTTCCTAGTCTCTGGTATCTATCATTCTACTCTCTACCCTGATGTGATCAACTTTTTAAACTCCCACATACGAGTGAGAACATGTGATATTTGTTTTTTTGTGCCTGGCTTATTTCACTTAACATTATGACGTCCACTTCCATCCATGTTACTGCAAATGACATGATTTCATCTTTTTAAATGGCTGAATACTTTCATTGTCTATATATACTACATTTTCTTTATCCATTCATCCATTCATGGACCCTTAGGTTGATTCCATATCTTGGCTCTTGTGAATAGTGCTGCAATAAAGAATGTGTGTATCCCTTTGATACATTAATTTCTTTTCCATTTGGATAAATACTAATTAGTGAGATTGCTTGATTGTGTAGTAGTTCTATTTTTAGTTTTTTGAGAAATCTCCATATTATTTTCCATAGTGGCTGTACTTACTTACATTCCAAGCAATGGTGAATAAGAGTTCCCTTTTCTCCATATCCTTGCCAACACCTGTGGTTTTTTTGTTTTGTTTGTTTGTTTGTTTTGTCTTTTTCATAGTAGCCATCCCAACTGGGGTAAAATGATATCTCATTGTGGTTGTTTGTTTTGCTTTTGTAGTGATGGGATCTCACTACTTTGCTTAGGCTGGTCTCAAACTCCTGGCTCAAGCGATCCTCCCACCTTGGCCTCTGAAAGTGTCGGCATTACAGTCATGAGCCACTGTGGCCTGACTTCATTGTGGTTTTGATTTGCATTTCCCTGATGATTAGTAATGTTGAGCATTCTTTCATGTACCTGTTGACCATTTATATGTCTTCTTTTCTTTCTCTTGCTCTCTCTCATTTTTCTTTTCTCAATGAAGAGAACAAATGCCTGTCTTCTTTTGGGAAATGTCTGTTCATGTTCTTTGCTCATTTTAAAAATGGGGTTATTAATTAATTAATTAATTAATTTAATTATTTATTTTTGAGACTAGATCTTGCCCAGGTTAGTGTGCAGTGGTCCCATAGTTCACTGCAGCATCAAATTCCTGGGTTCAAGCTATCCTTTTGCCTCAGTCCTTCAGCTGGGACTACAGGCTCATGTCACCATACCAGGCTATTTGGTTTTTTTTAATTTTAGTAAGAGACTGAGGTCTAGCTATGCTTCCTGGGCTGATCTTGAACTCCTGGACTCAAGAGATCCTCCTGCTGTAGGCCCCCAAAGTGCTGACATTACAGGCATTAGCCACCACACCTGGCCAGGATTATTTATTTTTTTACTATGAAGATGTTTGATTTCCTTGTATATTCTGGATATTCATCCCCTGTTGGATGAGTAGCTTGCATATATTTTCTCCCATTTAAGAGGTTTTCTCTTCACCCTGTAGATTGTTTCTTTTGCTGTGCAGAAGCTTTTTAGTTTAATATAGTTCCATTTGTCCATTTTTGGTTTTGTTACTGGTGCTTTTGAGATCTTAGCCATAAAATCTTTGCCTAGACCTATTTCCTGAAGAACTTTTTCTATGTTTTCTTCTAGCAGATTTATAGTTTCAGGTATTACATTTAAGTCTTTAATCTATCTTGAGTTGATTTTTGTATATGGTGAGAAGTAGGGGTCCAGTTTCATTCTTCTGCATATGGTTATCCAGTGTTCCCAGCACCATTTATAGAAAAGGATGTCATATCCCCAATGAATATTCTTCATAGCTTCATTGAATGTAAGTCAGCTATAAATATGTGGATTTATTTCTGGGTTTTCTATTCTGTTCTATTCTTTTTTAAAAAAAATTTATTTCTATAGGTTATTGGGAAACAGGTGGTGTTTGGTTACATGAGTGAGTTCTTTAGTGAAGATTTTTGAGACTTTGGTGCACCCATCACCCAAGCAGTATACACTGCAACCAATTTGTAATCTTTTATCCGTCACCCCCTTCCCACCCTTTCCTGCAGAGTCCCCAAAGTCCATTGTGCCATGCTTATGCCTTTGCATCCTCATAGCTTAGTTCCCACTTATGAGTGAGAACATACGATGCCTGGTTTTCCCTTCCTGAGTTACTGCACTTAGAATAATAGTCTCCAATCTCAAACAGGTCACTGCAAATGCCATTAAATCATTCCTTTTTATGGCTGAGTAGTATTCCATCATATATATATATATTCCATCATATATATATATATATATATATATATATATATATATATATATATATATCAAAGTTTCTTTATCCACTCATTGGGTTACTTCCACATTTTTGCAATTGTGAATCGTGCTGCTATAAATATGTGTATGCAAGTATCTTTTTTGTATAATGACTTCTTTTCCTCTGGGTAGATACCCAGTAGTGGGATTGCTGGATCAAATGGTAGTTCTACTTTTAGGACTCTTTAAGGAAACTCCACACTGTTTTCCATAGTGGTTGTACCAGTTTACATTCCCACCAGCAGTGGAAAATTGCTCTCTGTTCACCACATCCTTGCCAACATCTATTATTTTTTGATTTTTTGATTAAGGCCATTCTTTCAGGAGTGAAATGGTATTGCATTGTGGTTTTGATTTGCATTTTCCTGATTATTAGTGATGCTGAGCAATTTTTCTTATGTTTGTTGGCCATTTGTATGTCTTTTTTTGAGAATTGTCTATTCATGCCCTTAACTCATATTTTATGGGATTGTTTGTTTTTTACTTACTAATTTGTTTGGGTTCATTGTAGATTCTGGATATTAGTCCTTTGTCATATGTATAGATTGTGAAGATTTTCTCCCACTCTGTGGGTTATCTGTTTACTCTGCTGACTGTTCCTTTTGCCGTGCAAAAGCTCTTTAGTTTAATTAAGGTCTCAGCTATTTATCTTTGTTCTTATTGCATTTACTTTTGGGTTCTTGGTCATTAAATCCTTGCCTAAGCCAATGTCTAGAAGGGTTTTTCCGATGTTATCTTCTAAAATTCTTATAGTTTCAGGTCTTAGATTTATGTCCCTGATCTACCTTGAGTTGATTTTTGTATAGAGTGAGAGACATGGATCCAGTTTTATTCTCCTACATGTGGCTTGCCAATTATCCCAGCTCAATTTGTTGAATAGGGTGTGCTTTTACCACTTTATGTTTTTGTTTGCTTTGTCAAAGATCAGTTGGCTGTAAGTATTTGGGTTTATTTCTGGGTTCTCTATTCTGTTTTATTGGTCTATGTGCCTACATTTATACCAGTACCATGCTGTCTTGGTGACTATGGCCTTATATTATATTTTGAAATCAGGTAATGTGATGCCTCCAGATCTGTTCTTTTTGGTTAGTCTTGCTTTGGCTATGTGGGCTCTTTTTTGGTTCCATATGAAATTTAGAATTGTTTTTTCTAGTTCTGTGAAGAATGATGGTGGTATTTTGATGGGAATTGCATTGAATTTGTGACTGCCTTTTGCAGTATAGTCCTTTTCACAATATTGATTCTACCCATCCATGAGCATGGGATGTGTTTCCATTTGTTTGTGTCATCTATGATTTCTTTCAGCAGTGTTTTGTAGTATTCCTGGTAGAGATTTTTAGCCTCCTTGGTTAAGTATATTCCAAGTATTTTTTAAATTTATTTTCGGGAAACTATTGTAAAAGGGATTGAGTTCTTGATTTGATTCTCAGCTTGGTCATTGGTGTATAGTAGTGCTACTTATTTGTATACATTTATTTTGTAACCTGAAAATTTGCTGAATTCATTTTTCGGATCTAGGAGCTTTTTGGATGAGTCTTTAGGGTTTTTGAAGTATATGATCATATCATTAGTGAACAGTGATGGTTTGACTTTCTCTTTACCTATTTGTATGTCCTTTATTTCTTTCTCTTGTCTGATTATTCTGGCTAGGACTTCCAATCCTATGTTTTGTCTTTTTTTTTTTTAATTTGTAACTTCCCTTTTCTTTTTCTTTTTTTATTTTTATTATTATTATACTTTAAGTTTTAGGGTACATGTGCACAATGTGCAGGTTAGTTACATATGTATACATGTGCCATGCTGGTGTGCTGTACCCATTAACTTGTCATTTAGCATTAGGTATATCTCCTAATGCTAACCCTCCCCCCTCCCCCCACCCCACAACAGTCCCCAGAGTGTGATGTTCCCCTTCCTGTGTCCATGTGTTCTCATTGTCCAATTCCCACCTATGAGTGAGAACATGTGGTGTTTGGTTTTTTGTCCTTGCGATAGTTTACTGAGAATGATGATTTCCAATTTCATCTATGTCCCTACAAAGGACATGAACTCATCATTTTTTATGGCTGCATAGTATTCCATGGTGTATATGTGCCACATTTTCTTAATCCAGTCTATCATTGTTGGACATTTGGATTGGTTCCAAGTCTTTGCTATTGTGAATAGTGCCGCAATAAATATACGTGTGCATGTGTCTTTATAGTAGCATGATTTATAGTCCTTTGGGTATATACCCAGTAATGGGATGGCTGGGTCAAATGGTATTTCTAGTTCTAGATCCCTGAGGAATCGCCACACTGACTTCCACAATGGTTGAACTAGTTTACAGTCCCACCAACAGTGTAAAAGTGTTCCTATTTCTCCACA
Organism: Homo sapiens; assembly: GCF_000001405.40. Taxonomy (NCBI): domain Eukaryota; kingdom Metazoa; phylum Chordata; class Mammalia; order Primates; family Hominidae; genus Homo; species Homo sapiens. Next base: position 4,493,404 of record NT_167249.2, read on the forward strand.
TCCTCTCCAGCACCTGTTGTTTCCTGACTTTTTAATGATCGCCATTCTAACTGGTGTGAGATGGTATCTCATTGTGATTTTGATTTGCATTTCTCTGATGGCCAGTGATGGTGACCATTTTTTCATGTGTTTTTTGGCTGCATAAATGTCTTCTTTTGAGAAGGGGTGAAAGTCAGCATTCTTGTCTCCTTCCAGTTCTCAAGGGGAATGCTTTCAACTTCTCCCTGTTCAGTATAATTCTCTCTGTGGGTTTGTCATAGATGGCTTTCATTAAGTTGATGTATGTCCCTTCTATGCCAATTTTGCTCAGGGTTTTAATTATAAAGCGATGGTAAATTTTGTCAAATGTTTTTTCTGTGTCTTTTGAGTTGATGATGTGATTTTTGTATTTAACTGTGTTTATGTGATGTATCACATTTATTGACTTGCATATGTTAAACCATCCCTGCATCCCTGGTATGAAACCCACTTGATCATGGCGTATTATCTTTTTGACATGCTGTTGGATTCAGTTAGCTAGTGTTTTGTTGAGGATTTTTGCACCTATGTTCATCAGGGATATTGGTATGTGGTTTTCCTTTTTTTCTGCCTATTCCCAGTTTTAGTATTAGGGTGATACTGGCTTCATAGAATGAATTAGGGAAAATTCTCTCTTTCTCTATCTTTTTGAATAGTTTCAGTAAGATTGATACCAATTCTTCTTTGACTGTCTGATAGAATTCAGCTGTGAATACATCTGGTCCTGGACTTTTTCTTTTGGGCAGTTTTTAAATTATTATTTTAATCTCACTACTTGCTATTGGCCTGTTCAGAGTTTCTATTTCTTCCTGATTTAATCTAGGAGGGTTGTATATTTCCAAGAATTTGCCCATCTCCTCTAGACTTTCTAGTTTGTCTGCATAAAGGTGTTCATAGTAGCCTTCAATGATCTTTTGTATTTCTGTGGTATCGGTTGCAATATCTCCTGTTTCATTTCTAATTGAGCTTATTTGGATCTTCTCTCTTCTTTTCTTGGTTAATCTTGCTAATGGTCTGTCAATTTTGTTTATTTGTTCAAAGAACCAGCTTTTCATTTCATTTATCTTTTGTATTCTTGGTTTCAATTTCATTTATTTCTGCTCTGAAATTTATTTCAATTTCATTTATTTCTTTGCTATTTATTTTATTCTGATGGGTTTGGGTTTGGTTTGTTCTTGTTTCTCTGGTTCCTTGAAGGGTGACCTTAGATTGTCTATGTTGACTTTTTGATGTCTAGATTGACTTTTTGATGTAGGCATTTAATGCTATGAACTTTCCTCTTAGCACCACTTTTGCTGTCTCCCAGAGTTTTTGTTTTTGTTTTGTTTTGTTTTTTTGAGAGTTTCGCTCTTGTTGCCCAGGCTGGAGTACAGTGGCACAATCTTGGCTCACTGCAACCACCACCTCCTGGGTTCAAGCAATTCTCCTGCCTCAGCCTCCCGAGTAGCTGGGATTATAGGCACACACCACCACACCCGGCTGATTTTTGTATTTTTAGTAGAGATGGGGTTTCATCATGTTGGCCAGGCTGGTCTCGAACTCCCGACCTCAGGTAATCCACCCACCTCGGCCTCCCAAAGTGCCAGGATTACAGGTGTGAGCCACCGTGCCCGGCCTTCCTAGAGTTTCTGATAAATTGTGTCACTATTATGGTTCAGTTCAAAGATTTTTAAAATTTCCATCTTGATTTCATTGTTGACCTAAAGACCATTCGGGAGCAGATTATTTAATTTCCATGTATTTGTATAGTTCTGAGAATTCATTTTGGATTCAATTTCCAGTTTTATTCCACTGTAGTCTGAGAGGGTACATCATATAATTTTGATTTTCTTAAACTTATTGAGACTTGTTTTGTGGCCTACCATAACATCTGTCTTGGAGGATGTTCCACATGCTGATGAAAATAATGTATATTCTGCTGTTGTTGAGTAGAATGTTCTGTAAATATCTGTTAAGTCCATTTGTTCTACAGTGATATGGTTTGGATCTGTGTCCCCACCCAAACCTCACCTTGTAGCTCCCATAATTCCCACGTGTTGTGGGAGGCACCCTGTGGGAGATTACTGAATTATGGGGGTGGGTCTTTCCAGTGCTGTTCTTGTGACAGTGAATGGGTCTCAGGTGATCTGATGGTTCCGAAAACGGAGTTGCCCTCACAAGCTCTCTCTTTGCCTGCCACCATCCAAGGAAGATGAGACTTGCTCCTCCTTGCCTTCCACCATGATTGTCAGGCTTCCCCAGCCATGTGGAACTGTAAGTCCAATTAAACCTCTATCTTTTGTAAATTGCCCAGTCTCAGTTATGTCTTTATCGGCAGTGTGAAAACAGAATAATACAGTAAATTGGTACCGGTAGAGTGGGGCACCACAGAAAAGATACCCAAAAATGTGGAAGTGACTTTGGAACTAGGTAACAGGCAGAGGTTGCAAGAGTTTGGAGGGCTCAGAAGAAGACAGGAAAATGTGGGAAAATGTGGAACTTTCTAGAGACTTGTTGAATAATGATATGGACAATGAAATCCAGGCTGAGATGGTTTCAGATGGAGATGAGGAACTTGTTGGGAACTGAAGCAAAGGTGACTCTTGTTATGTTTTAGCAAAGACACTGGTGGCATTTTGCCCCTGCCCTAGAGATTTGTGGGACTTTGAACTTGAGAGAGATGATTTAGGGTATCTGGCAGAAGAAATTTCTAAGCAGCAAAGCATTCAAGAGGTGACTGGAGTGCTGTTAAAAGCATTCAGTTTTAAAAGGGAAACAGCATAAAAGTTTGAAAAATTTGCAGCCTGACAATGCGATAGAAAATAAAATCCCATTTTCTGAGGAGAAATTCAAGCCAGCTGCAGAAATTTGCATAAGTAACAAAGAGCCAAATGTTAGTGCCCAAAACAAGTCCCTTCCGCTGCTTCCTCTACCCCTGTGTTTCCCTCAGCTTCTAAATGGACTCAGCTCCAGTTCAGGTCAGAATCTTCTCCCATGATCTACACCTTCAGGTTCCCCAGTGAGGTATGCATTCAAGGGTGGAAGATCCCCCTTTCCCACCTCCACAGTTTGGGCACTCACAGTATTTGGGATGTCTCCCAGGTCCTGCAGGAGCAATCTGCTCCCTTCAGAGGGTCTGTGGGTTCTCTCAGCTTTCCCAGTCATTCCTGCAATAGGTCTGGAGCAAAAGTTCATGATGCAAGACTCCACAAGCTGCTCTGTCCATCCAAGTTGGAGGGGCAATGTATAATGCCTCCCGTCCACCATGATTCTGTCCCCTATTCTGTTGTATTCTATTGGTCTATGTGTCTGTTTTTTATACCAGTACTCTACTCTTTTGGTTACTACAGCCTTGTAAAATGTTTTGAACTCAGGTATTGTGATACTTCCAGCTTTGTTCTTTTTGCTCAGGATGGCTTTGCCTATTCAGGATCTTTTATGGTTCTATACAAATTTTAGGATTGTTTTTTATATTTTTGTGGAAAGTGACATTGGTATCTTGATAGGGATCACATTAAATCTGTAGATTGCTTTGGGCCATATGGTCATTTTAATGATATTAATTCTTCTGATCCATTAGCATGGAATTTCTTTCCATTTGTTTGTGTCCACTTCAATTTCTTTCATCAGTGTTTTGTAGTTTTCCTTGTAGGGATCTTTCACCTCTTTGGTAAAATTTATTCCAAGTATTTTATCATATTTTTTGTAGCTATCATAAATGGAATTCTCTTCTTCATTTCTTTTTCAGCTATTTCATTGTTGGTGAATAGAAATGCTACTTATTTCTGCATATTAATTTTGTATCCTGCCAAGTCTACTGAATTGGCTTATCAGTTCTAAGAGTGTTCTGGTGGAGTGTTTGGTTTTTCTAAATATAAGATTATTTTGGAACTTGCTTTATGAGCTCTTGCCAGGAAGATGGCAGACAGGAGACAGGGCTGATGTGCAGCCCCCCTTGGATAGATAGAATAGTACTATGTTGAGTAGGAGGGGTGAACATGTGTATACTTGTCTTTTCCCAGTTCCTAAAGAAAAAGCTTTCAACTTTTCACCATTCTGTATGATGTTAGCTGTGGGTTTTGTCACATAGAGCCTTTATTATATTAAGGCATGATCCTTTTATGCCTAGTTTGTTGAGAGTTTTTATTACGAAAAGGTGTTGAATTTTATCAAATGCTTCTTCTGCATTTATTGAGATAGTCATATGGATTTTGGCCTTCATCATGTTGATGTGATGTATCACATTCATTGATTTGTGTATGTTGAAATATCCTTGCATCCTTGCTGTAAATCCTACTTGATCACATTATATTATTGTTTTGATCTACTGTTGGATTCGGTTTGCTCCTATTTTGGTAAGTATTTTTCCATCTGTATTCATCAGGATATTCACCTGTAGTTTTCTTTCTTGGAGCATCCTTGTCTGGGTTTGCCATTAGGGTAATGCTAGCCTCACAGAATGAGTTTGGGAGAATTCCCTCTTCTTCAACTTTTTGGACCAGTTGGAGGAAAATCGGTGGTGGTTCTCTGAAAGTTTGGTGGAATTTATCAGTGAAACTATATGCTCCTGGATTTTTCTTTTTTGGGAGATTTTTTATTACTGATTCCATTTCAGTACTCAGTATTAGTCTGTCCAGATTTTCTTTCTTCCTGATTCAATCTTGGTAAGTTGTATGTTTCCAGAAATTTATCCATTTCCTCTTGTTTCTCCAGTTTGTTACCATATGTTTGTTCATAATGGTTTCTGATTATCTTTTGTATTTATGTGGGATCTGTTGTAATAGCTTCTTTTTCATTTATGATATGGTTTACTTGGGTATTCTCTTTTCTTTTCTTGGTTAGTCTAGTGTGGGGGTTCAGTCAGGATGGTGGGAGAAATTGTAAAATTATAGGATATAGACACAAACCTTCTTGGAAGGCCGGAAGGTATTTGCAAAAGTCTCAAGATAGGGTTATGGCTGAAAGCAGCGTAATCCTTACCTTGAGTTAATTGCTTGGGGCACAGATACAAAGGAACATTTATCTAAATAGCTTGTTTACTCATGTGGTCGTAAGACCAACATTTGATCAACTGCAGATGCATAATTGCTCTCTACTTGGGGGGGTCGGCAAACAGGTCAATTGCCCTCTAGTGGTGTGAACAAATGCGAGCTTTGCTGGTTGATCAGGGCCATAGATGCAACTCTTTACAGCACCTTCCTTGGTGTCTGTGTGTGGCCTGGACCCTCAGCTGAACTGACAAGCAAGATATCTGTGTCAGTGTACACCTCTCATCCATTACTGGGTCAGGGTCTGTGGGTCAGACTACCACAGCTGGTGCCCCGCGTGAGGAATGCTGCAAGGGGAGATTGATGAACCCCCTGAAAATGAAGGTGAAAAAGGAACTGCGCAGTCAGTGAGTAATCAGTAAGTCATTGGTACTTGCTTGGGATTTCCAAGTTCGGGGCGGGGGATTGTTCAGGCTAAGGTTTCATCATGGGACAACAGTTATCAGCTCAACAGAAACAGTATATAAAAGTATTGAAATGGCTGCTTAAAGCTAGCAGAGCCTCAGTTTCACAGGTTTAATTAAGGAACCTAATGCAAACTGTTGTATCCCATAACCCATGGTTCCCCCAAGAAGGCATGCTAGACCTAGAGCTCTGGGAACGAGTGGGAAAAAATCTTAAGCAACATCATGTTCAAGGGTAACGGGTCCCAGTATCATCTTTAATGCTATGGGCCTTAGTAAGGGCGGCTTTGGTCCCATTATACACAGAAGAGCCTAAAAAGGGGAAGGACAAGGCACCATCATGTATTTTACCACCCGCAAGTTCCTCAGCCCTGATATCACCAGGCCAAAATAACAAAGAGGAAATGGAGGTTTTGCCTGAGCCCCCTCCTCCAATAGATAGGAAAAAAGACAGGAGACATGCTCCAGCTATGGGACCTTGTCTTAAGCAAGTGGCATTGGAAGGGGAGCTCTTAGCCTGCCTGGTAATGCAAGACCGACAAGGCAATCAGGTACATGAACCCATTTCTTTTAATGCTTATAAGGAGCTAAGAAAAAGCATTAAAGAAAACAGAGCTGCTAGCCCATTTATGAAAGGAATGATTGAGGCCTTGGCAGACCACTTTTCTATGACCCCATGGGACTGGGCAATGCTAACCAAAACAACTTTGGAGCCTAGCCAATACCTCCTCTGGAAGGCAGAATATGATGAGCTGTGTGAACAACAAGCTAACCAGAATCAGGCGACGGGGCAAGACCTAACAGCTGCTATGCTCCAGGGGAAGGATCCCCATGCCTATGTACAACGACTAGATTTTGATTCCCCAGGCCTAAAATCAAGTGTCTTTGTGTGCTCTCAGGGCTTGGGACTGAATTCCTGAAAGTGGAGTTTAGCAAGGATCTTTTATAAATGTTCAACAAGGGCCTCAGGAGCCATTTGTTGAGTTTTTCAATTGGTTAACCCAGGCAATTAAGAGACAAATTAGTCACGCCCAGGCTGCTGATATCTTATTGTTGCAATTGGCTTTTGAAAACTCTCATGTGGATCACCAGCAGGCAATGCAGGCAATCAGAAGAAAGGCAGCCACAGTCGGGGAACTTATATGAGCATGTCAGCTGGTGGGAACTGAGACACACAAGCCAAAATATTGGTTATGGCATTAAGGCCTCCTAAAGTGAAAAGGGAGAGAAGCCAAAGTTGTTTTCTATGTGGAGAGCCAGATCATATGAAGAGGGAATGCCCCCATAATAGAGACGAAGGTAACTCAGGGAAAGAACCCCCTTCTATATGCCCCGGATGTAAAACGGTGAAACATTGGGCAAATCAATGCAGGTCAAAATTTGATAAAAACAGAAACCCCATAAGTAACCAGGTGGGAAACTTCATGATGGGCTGGCCCTAGGCCCTGCTTCAAACTGGGGCAATCCCACCAGCTTTCCTCGGTCTGATGGAGAGCTCACAGTCCTCTCTCTCAGAGCAGCCACCACTGGGAGTGCAGGACTGGACTTACTCTGCCCCAACAAATCAGTGCTGAAAGAAGGAGAAGACCCTAAAAGGGCTGCATACGGGATCTGGGGCCAGCTGCCTCCAGAAGCAGTGGGATTAGTCCTAGGGCGGTCTAGCCTGTCCAGTAAAGGAATTAATGTGCTCACTGGGGTAATTGGTAGTGATTACCAAGGTGAGATATTGGTTATGATGGAATGTAAAGGTCTGAATATTCTTCCCCCTGGATCAAAGATAGCTCAGTTACTGATTTTGCCATACTGGGTCCCCAGTGCCCACGGAAAGGAAAGGGGAAAGGAAGTTTTGGGAGCACAGGAGCCACAGGAGTATATGGGAATCAATTAATCACTGATCAGAGACCCATGATTATCTTAAAAATTGGAAATAATAATTTTACTGGCTTATTGGACACAGGGGTGGACGTTTCAATCATTAGTGATCAAAACTGGCTAGAAATTTGGCCTTGGGTCACTCAGAAATAAAAAATGGTCTGCATCAGGGAAGCACACAGAGCCAAGCAGAGCATGCACCCCCTAACCTGTTGCAATTCAGAAGGAAGAAAGGCAGTTATACAACCCGTAAGCATGCGCATCCCTGTTAATCTTTGGGGACAGGATTTATTAGCCCAATGCGGGAGGGGTGACTCTCAGCCCCCTTTATAACAATGGCCACTGTTATTATTCCTCCCCTACCCCCGTCGTAGCTCTCTCAAGATCCAATTTGAGTAGAACAGTGGCCTCTGAAGGGAGAGAAATTACAAAAAGCCTGTGAATTAGTTGAAGAGCAATTAAAAGCTGGGCATGTAGAACCATCTATTTGTCCTTGGAATTTGCCCATTTTCATCATTCCCAAAAAGTCTGGGAAATGGAGATTTTGCATGACCTATGTGCTGTTAATGCTAATTTGCAACCTATGGGACCCCTTCAACAGGGCCTCCCATCCCCTGTGGCGATTCCTCGAGATTGGCCTATAATCATTATTGACTTAAAGGACTGCTTTTATATGATTCCCCCAGCAGAACAGGACAGAGAAAAATTTGCATTTACAATACCAGCTATCAATAATGAAAGGCCAGCTTGTTGATTTCATTGGAATGTGCTTCCTCAAGGGATGCTAAACAGTCCTACCAAGTGTCAGTATCATGTAAATCAAGCTTTGCTCCCAGTAGAAAAGAATTTCCTAATTGCAAGATTATTCGTTTTATGAATATTTTACCAGCAACCCCAACAGAGCCAATACTTTTAAATTTATATACCTCTGTCATAAAGAATAAACAGCTAAGAGGTTTAATCATTGCACCTGAAAAAGTACAACTTTCTCTCCTTGGAAATATATCTTGGGTACATGCTAACTTCCTGGTCAGTAAGACCTCAAAATGTTAAATTAAATACTAGCAACTTACATTCCTTAAATGATTATCAGAAATTACTAGGTGATATCAACTGGCTCTGCCCCACTTTAGGCATTCCTACTTATAAGCTGCAAAACCTGTTTTCTATCTTAAAGGGCAATATAGCCCTGAATTCTCCCAGATATTTAAACCCTGCAGCAAAAAGGGAAATTGAGGAAATAGAACAAGCCATCTCTCAGAGGCAACTAGATCACATAGACACCCATTATTTCATCCAGTTGTTTATTTTCCCCACCAAACACTCCCCTTCAGGATTAATAGGACCGATGACCCCAGGACTGCGCTTTCTAGAATGGATTTTTTTTTGCTCACATACCAGGACTAAAACACTCTTTCCCTACATTCAGTTAATTAGTAAAGTCGTATATTCAGGCCTCAAACAATGCAGTCAGTTGCTAGGCTATGATCCTGATATCCTGAAATCATCAGGATTCCTTTAAGTAAAAAGCAATTAGAAGCAGTTTTGTCCCTATTGTTAGATCTGCAAATAGCTCTCTCTGATTACACAGGACAAATAGAGCATGTTCTTCCTGCTGATAAATTCCTTCATTTCTTATCTCATACTCCTGTGATCTTGCCAACAAAAATAGTTCACTCCTCCATACCTAATGCTTTAACATTGTTTTCTGATGATTCAGGCAAACATGGAAAGGCGGCAATCTGGTGGAGACCACATAATTCACTCACTCAATCTGGGTTTACTAGCATTCAGAGAGGTGAGATCGGGGCCCTGATATTGGCCTTGGAAACTTTTTCTACTCAGCCATCAATATAGTTAGTGATTCTGCCTACTTTGTTTATTTATTGCAAAATCTTGAAGCAGCCGTAATTAAGTCCACTCTGGAGCCTGCCCTGTGTGCTCTTTTTCTCTGATTTCAGCAATTGCTAGATCAATGTACACATCCTATTTTTATTACACACATTCGAGTCCACAGCTCACTGCCTGGCCCACTGGCTTATGGCAGTGATCAAGGAGACCTTCAGGTGATGACATCACTGCTTGACCAAACCACCCAATCGCATCAATTTTTCCACCAAAATTGGAGAAACTTATCTAAGCAATTTCAACTTACCCAGAGACTGGCTAAACAAATTATCCCACAATTCTCAAATTGCCAGCTAACAGGCATGTCCCCTCCTTCAAAAGGTGTTAACCCTAGAGGATTAGAACCTAATCAGTTATGGCAAATAGAAGTTACATCCCTGAAATTGGAAAACTAAGATATGTACATGTATCCATTGATACCAGCACTCATCTAATTAGTGCACACGCTCTTCCTTGGAGAGTCCACTCAATATGTCATTAAACATCTTCTTTCAACTTTTGCATGTATGGGGCGGCCCATAAAAATTAAAACTGATAATGGTCCAGTTTATGCCAGCTCACAATTTCAACAATTTTGTCACACGTGGAATATCCAACGTTCCATAGGCATCCCGTATAACCCCCAAGGACGGGCCATAGTAGAACGTGCCCACTCCAGCCTTAAAAATATGCTCAAAAAACAGAAAAGGGGGAGTATGGGTAAAGACCCTGCAACACTATTGGCACAAGCCTTATTTACCCTTAATTTTTAAAATGTAGATGACAAATTTCAATCAACTATAGAGAAACACTTTTTGCTAAAACCTCTCAAGACATAAAACCTGCAGTTTTATGGAAAGATGTAAGCAGTAATGTATGGTGTGGTCCAAATGAATTGTTAACTTGGAGAAGAGGGTATGCTTGTGTCCACACCCCCTCAAGTCCTCTTTGGATTCCAGCAAGACACATCAAACCATACCATGACATGGCTAGGACTCAACCCGGTACCAGAAATGAAGGAACTAACCCTGCAGGACCCACGGTCCCGGATGATGCAGCTTCCGTGGATGACACAAACCCTAGACATTACTGGGGGATGCTGAAGAGGACAACTCAGGAGGCTGAATGAACCCTGCTCTGGACACAGACACCATTCACTCCAGATAATTTGCTCCTTGCTATGATTTCTGTTGTACATTGCAACTCATGTAGGGTATTGATCCTTTTTATGCTCGTGCTTTGTCTGCAACCTGTTCCTGCTACACTCTATTGGGCTCATATCTTAGATCCGCCTTTCTTTCACCCTGTCACCTAGGCAGACACTCCCTTCCCAACTTTTAATAACATAACTGCTTGGCTAGGAGGGATAGATTTACCCCCAGTGGGGTCCCTCGATAATGGCATACACTGGACTAAGGTGCCAGACACACTACATATCACTCCACTATCCTCCCACTGTGTGTAAGTTATAAAGATTATAACCCTTACTGTGTACCTGCCCAAACACAATTATGGCTACATCATGGCAAAAGAAATGCCTTTAAAGTCTTAGCTGCAGGTAGCTTCAAATCAGGTAATGCAATCAATGATTCTTTCCCAAACATTCCTTCCTGTGCTAAAGAATAAAGCTGGGAAAGTAATGGATTCCACTTTAGCTGGGAGGTCTGTCACGGGGAATAAGCTTGTAGCCTCCAGCTAGGCCATTATAATACCTTAGACTGGAGCCCCCACGGCCATTTTCAGGGCATCCTTACTGATGTCCTCATCTATCATGGTGTTAATCACAGTTTTGTAGCCTCATCACGTTCCCCTATGATTTAGGCCAATGGGGGGGATGGGTTATCCCATACCCCAAGTAAAGTCCATGCTACCCAAGACACTTTACGGTACCTGGGACATCTTAGCACCTCCTTTTCACCTGGCATGGGACATATCATAATTCCAGTGGCAAATACACTATAACCTTTATTCATAATCACACTGATCAGTGCCTAATTTATACTACCCATACATATATTTTCCTTATGGAAACTGATACTTCCATTACACCCCAAAACTCCGCATTTGTGACCCAGGTGCAGGAACAGGCTTGGTTTGCCTCATGTATCACTAATTATAATACATCTAATTTAAATATTACTAGTGTCATGGTATTAAGGAGACAATCTGAGGCATTCCTACCCAGTCAATTTGACATGCGATTGGCAAGGTTCCTCTGCCCTTGCCACCTAAGAATGTGCCCTGTCCTAGGCCAGACCCAAAAGATACATAGGCACACTTACAGCCTTTATAGTCTCAGCCACAGTCATCCTAGCAACTGCTAGTGTGGCTGTAGCAGCTATTACTGAATCAGTACAAATAGGTGCTTTTGTAGATAATTTGGCCAGAAATGTGTCTAATGAACTTCTCTTACAGCAGGGTATAGAGCAAAAGATTCTTGCACGTCTGCAAGCCCTTGAGGCCCTTGAGGCTGCCCTGGAATATATGGGGGAGTAACAAGATGCACTGGTATTCTAACAGCAACTAAACTGCGACTGGGCGCATAAACATATCTGCGTCACTTCTCTATCATAGAATCAATCAATACATAGTTGGGATGAAGTGAAACAACACCTCTGGGGAACATTTCATGACAATTTAATAGCAGATGTAAAGCAACTTCAAACTAAAATTTTAGAATCCCTTCCCACTATAGATCTACACACCCAACAAACAGCCATATGGAAGGGTGTGCAAGATCATCACTCCTGGTTAGACCCCCGCTCCTGGGGTTCACTCTTTGACTGGAAAAGAATATTGCTAATTATTCTCATGATTGTCTTATGTTATTTGCTAATTCTAGGATGCAAAGCCGGAATGAAAGCGATGACTGCCTTGCCTGACAGACGTGTTGCTGCACACATCTGTACACTTCAGTCAACAGAAGAGCGTGTGCACTTATTAGATGAGTGTTGGTATCAATGGATACATGTACATATCTTAGTTTTCCAAATTCAGGGATGTAACTTCTGTTTGCCATAACTGATTAGGTTCTAATCCTCTAGGGTTAACACCTTTTGTGTTAGAACCTGTGAAGTAGAAGTAACTCAGAAGTGCTCCTCAGAGAGTAGACAGCTCTTTCTCTAACCGTTTCCAGCTCAGTAGAATTTAGAAAGGCTTCTAGGAGGCCAACCAGTCTTTTTGATCCAACATTGAATTGTAAAACCGGATATGGAAGCCAAATTTCACAGTGGATCTAACAAAGTAGCTAATGGGTACTATGCTTCTGAGAACCTGAACAGGCATCTGAGAGCTGTAACTAGAAGAAAAGTAAAGACTCCGGACTCCAGCACCAAGCAGGTTTTCCTTAGCAATTTACAACCTGAAGCTCCAAGGAAAAACTATTTTAGCATACACCAAAACTATTCCCATGTGCCAACAGGTAAGGAGACTTGTACTTATATTCTGTTTTATTCTTCTCTAACTCGTTTCTGTGCACTATTTCTATGTTTTCTCCTTAGTTTTACCTTGCCTGGGTTTGCCCATTTGTTATTCATATCTATTTATCAATCCCAAAATACTAAAAGGATCCAGGCAGGGCAGCTTTAATTGGTGGCTGCACAGAGTGCTACTTCCTGTGAGGCAGCAATTCTAACCCTAGTTGGCATACACTTCAGATTTTCTCAACAGCAGAAGATGTAACCTTCCCAAGAACCCACTTCAACCCTCAGTTCTCTCACTTCTATGTCCACGTGACACTCTGATACATTTTCCCACTATGAAAAGAACTGTTCTCTTGATAGCATGCCATACCTCTCCCTTCTCTGCAACTCACTCAGGACAATCTCAGTACCTTTATTACCTGGTCACAAGTGAGGATGCTTCACACTCAAATCTCATTGGCTGGAGGGAAAGTCATTAAGCAGAAGTGATAATTCTTGTCATCACAGCTTTCTCCAAACCTTCTCCATCGGCATTTTACTCTCACTCTTAGAGCTTAGCTTCAACCATCAAACAGACAGTTGAGTGTTCAACAGTCCCTTTATGGGACAGATTTTTTTAGTTGACTGTGTATTCTAACCCTGAGCAATGGGGCCCCTGGCTAAGAGAGAGAAGGGAAAGCAGAGAGGGAAGTGTTGCAATGCTACCTTTTCAGAGAGGAAATAGAGACAAATAGTTTTTATGGGTGTAATACACAGCCTCCACTGTCCCACAATAAGAGCAATTGAGCTTAAATACCAAAAAGGGCTTTTCTATGTGAGCTGAAAACAGAAAGAGAGAGCAAATGGGAGGATGGGCTGGAGTAATCTTGTTTGAAGTTCTCTCATCCTAAGGAAGAACCTTTTCTTCCTCTGTCATACACGAGTGCTTAGGGCTTACATAAGCCCCATCTGCACGCTGCTAGGAGCAGATCATCCTACTCAAGACAATAAAAAAGGAATCATCATGTACCTTACATATTTAGAGATACGTGCGTACACTTTTCTCATAAATAAAGCAACACACCCCTGCCTGACCTCCTAGGACCTCCATAGTTGAGGTATAGTTATTTGGAGTCAGAGATTCTTAAACCAATCCTGGTTCTGCTTTTTTCACTTCACCAAACCAAACTTGACCAGATTCTTTAATGGCTCCAAAATCACAACCCTTTGAACTATTTTACTCCTGTTTTCCATTTTCCTTTATACCTCTGTCCAGGTGGTACAGATTTTTCTTAAAAATCTATGTCTGAGTGTACAGAGCTTCAAGTAAAGTTCAAGAAGGGAATAGGAGATCTATCACCTTCCTTATTACAGAAATATTGCTGATATTAATGCAGGCTAATGTTATATTAAGTCCCTTGACAGGTATATCAAACTATTTGGTCTTATCCAGTTGGTGGTCAACCAGATAGTTATAAGTGAGATGGAGAGACAGGTCATTCTCTTCCCATAGCCCTCTCTTCCTTACCCTATTTACCCCAAAACGCTGAGGCAGGAAATAATGCATACTCCTTTGTGCACTGCTCCTCCATTTCCCATTTTTAAATGGAGACATACTTAAGGCATAATCTTCAGCCCTTTGCTCATCTCTCTACACTCATTCTCCTGCAGATCTCAGTCACCCTCATGGCATCAATCATGATGCCACAGAAAAACCCATTAGTGTATAGTCTCTGGCTTCATCTCAGTATATGTACTGGGCACATCCGTCTGGATGTTCCGTCATTACCTCAAACTCTGTCCTTAATTTTTTTGTTAGAAACATCTCTTCTCTACAAACCATGCTTTGTGTTCAGCATGCTCATCTGGCATCCAGTTTAAGAAGGATATCTTCTGGCCATGATTTGATTTTTGTATGAAAAAAATCTTTGTTGTAGAAATCAGCATACTATTTTTTTTTTATTATTATTATTTTATTGATCATTCTTGGGTGTTTCTCGCAGAGGGGGATTTGGCAGGGTCACAGGACAATAGTGGAGGGAAGGTCAGCAGATAAACAAGTGAACAAAGGTCTCTGGTTTTCCTAGGCAGAGGACCCTGCGGCCTTCCGCAGTGTTTGTGTCCCTGGGTACTTGAGATTAGGGAGTGGTGATGACTCTTAAGGAGCATGCTGCCTTCAAGCATCTGTTTAACAAAGCACATCTTGCACCACCCTTAATCCATTCAACCCTGAGTGGATACAGCACATGTTTCAGAGAGCACAGGGTTGGGGGTAAGGTCACCGATCAACAGGATCCCAAGGCAGAAGAATTTTTCTTAGTACAGAACAAAATGAAAAGTCTCCCATGTCTACCTCTTTCTACACAGACACGGCAACCATCCGATTTCTCAATCTTTTCCCCACCTTTCCCCCGTTTCTATTCTACAAAACCGCCATTGTCATCACGGCCCGTTCTCAATGAGCTGTTGGGTACACCTCCCAGACGGGGTGGTGGCGGGGCAGAGGGGCTCCTCACTTCCCAGTAGGCGCGGCCGGGCAGAGGCGCCCCTCACTTCCCGGATGGGGTGGCTGGCCGGGCGGGGGGCTGACCCCCCCACCTCCCTCCCGGACGGGGCGGCTGGCGGGGCAGGGGGCTGACCCCCCACCTCCCTCCCGGACGGGGCGGCTGGCTGGGCAGAGGGGCTCTTCACTTCCCAGTAGGGGCGGCCGGGCAGAGGCGCCCCTCACTTCCCGGATGGGGTGGCTGGCCGGGCGGGGGGCTGACCCCCCCACCTCCCTCCCGGATGGGGCGGCTGGCCGGGCGGGGGACTGACTCCCCCACCTCCCTCCCGGATGGGGCGGCTGGCCGGGCAGAGGGGCTCCTCACTTCCCAGTAGGGGCGGCCGGGCAGAGGCGCCCCTCACCTGCCGGACGGGGCGGCTGGCCGGGCGGGGGGCTGACCCCCCCACCTCCCTCCCGGAGGAGGTGACTGCCGGGCGGAGACGCTCCTCAATTCCCAGACAGGGTGGCTGCTGGGCGGAGGGGTTCCTCACTTCTCAGACGGGGCGGTTGCCAGGCAGAGGGTCTCCTCACTTCTCAGACGGGGCGGCCGGGCAGAGACGCTCCTCACATCCCGGACGGGGCGGCAGGGCAGAGGTGCTCCCCACATCTCAGACGATGGGCGGCCAGGCAGAGACGCTCCTCACTTCCCAGATGTGATGGCGGCCGGGAAGAGGCGCTCCTCACTTCCTAGATGGGATGGCGGCCGGGCAGAGACGCTCCTCACTTTCCAGACTGGGCAGCCAGGCAGAGGGGCTCCTCACATCCCAGACGATGGGCGGCCAGGCGGAGACGCTCTTCACTTCCCAGACGGGGTGGCGGCCGGGCAGAGGCTGCAGTCTCGGCACTTTGGGAGGCCAAGGCAGGCTGCTGGGAGGTGGAGGTTGTAGCGAGCCGAGATCACGCCACTGCACTCCAGCCTGGGCACCATTGAGCACTGAGTGAACGAGACTCTGTCTGCAATCCCGGCACCTCGGGAGGCCGAGGCTGGCGGATCACTCTCGGTTAGGAGCTGGAGACCAGCCCAGCCAATACAGCGAATCCCCATCTCCACCAAAAAAATACGAAAACCAGTCAGGTGTGGCGGCGCGCGCCTGCAATCGCAGGCACTCGGCAAGCTGAGGCAGGAGAATCAGGCAGGGAGGTTGCAGTGAGCCGTGATGGCAGCAGTATCGTCCAGCTTCGGCTCGGCATCAGAGGGAGACTGTGGAAAGAGAGGGAGAGGGAGACCGTGGGGAGAGGGAGAGGGAGAGACACTATTTTTTAAAATATGGAGAGAAGATATTCTGGTGGCTGAAAGTGTGGTCTGGTGTCAGATATAAATGTGCAAATGCCTTCTTGCTGTCCTGTCGGTCTCAGTACATTCACCTTGTAGCTGCTGGAAATATCGAAGGTTCCTTTTTTGTTTGTGTAAACTCTAATTTCTATCAAGGTGTCATGGACTTTTAAAATTAGTATTTCATTACAAATGTCTCAGCATTGGTCAATTTTTGCCAGGACCATTATTGATCAAGCAAATAAATTCAACAGCCATTAGGAAAAAAAAAGAAGGCCATCTTCTTTTTTCAATAAATGTATTATATAGTTAATAGTTTCATTTATATAGAATGCATAGAAACTGTTCACAGAATGTCCAGCATTTTGTATTTTTGCAGTAGGGAACATTTCTTCACTGAATTCCACTTTCACATTAGATAATTTAATAGTTTTATGGAGAAAGTAAAATGCCCGCCCCCCTCCCCCACCCAAAATTGAAAATTTCAGTTGTTGGTTTTCATGGACACACCTTATCAGGTAATTCCTTTTTATTCCTAGTTTTCTAGGACTTTTTATCATGAATGAGCAAATGCCTTTTTCTGCATCCATTTACATAATTACATAATTTTTCTTTGTATTCTGTTAAGATGTGGAATCACATTGATTTTTTGCATGTTAAACATGCCTTCCATTCCTGGCATAAACTTTTATGATCATGTTATATCATCCTTTTTAATATATTATTGAATTCAATTTTAAAAAATATTTTGTTAAACATTTTCATGGCTATGTTTGTGTGTCTTTAGTTTCCTTTTCTTTTAATGTCATTGTTTGATGTTAGTATATTGGACTTGTAAATTATTGGGATGTGTTTTCTTCTGCTCTTTTGTTGAAAGAGTTTGTATTGAGTTTGTATTGTTTCTTCCTTAAATGTATAATAGAATTAATCATACAGACATTAAAAGTATTATGACAGTATTATGACAGAATACTATGGATTAATCAATGAAGCCATCTGACCTGGAAACCATTTGGCCTTCTCTGTGAGAAGGATTTTTAAAATTACAAACTTAATTTCTTCCATTGACAGAGATTTCTTCTTGATTTAGTTTTGGTAATTTGAATCGTTCAAGAAATGTTTCTATTTCATGTTGTTAAAATAAAAATTTTAGAGAAGTTGAATTTAACAGAGTTTATTTAGCAAAGAACAATTCATGAATTGGGGAGCCCTCAGAACCCAGAAAGATTCAGAAAGCTCTGTCCAGCAACATGTGAAGGCAGTGTTTATAGATAAAAACAGGAAGTGATACTCAAAACCAGCCAATTTATTACAGCTCAGTGTTTGCCTTATATGGGCATGGCGTGATGAGGCATTTGCCTTATGGGGGACATAATATGATCACTTGGCAGCCTGTGATTGGCTGAGACTCAGCTATTTATTACAACACTCTTAAGTTAGGCTGTAGTTTGTTTGCATAACGCAGTTATGTTAAGTTGGGTTAGTTTGCTATGTAGGAATTTAAGATATGGAGAAAGCTTTACACCAAATTTAATTTAATTTAACAATGTAAATTGTCAAATTTATTGTCATTTTTGTTTATTGGCATTTTCATAGCATTCTGTCATAATACTTTTAATGTCTGTATGATTTGTTGTGACGTACCCACTTCCATTTCTGATATTGGGGATTTGAGTCTTATCTCTTTTTCTTGATCCATCTACCTAGAGATTCATGAATGTATTGAGCCTTATTGAAAACCAGCAATTGACTTTGTTTATTTTCTTTATTGTTTGTCCATTTTATTGCATTTATTTCTGATCTTATTAATCTTGGGATTCATTTGACTTTTTTTTTCTAGCTTCTTAAGATGGGAACATAGATGGTTGATTTTAGAGTTTCCCTCCTTTCCAATTATGTAAAGTTATAAATTATTCTCTAATTAGTGTATCATACTAATTTTGATAGTGTGCTTTCATATTCACTCAGTTCAAAATATTTTCTAATTTTCCTTCTGACTCTTTTTAAATCCAGGTGCTGTTTAGCAGTATACTTTTTAATTTCTAGGTATTTGGGACTTTCAAGGTATTTTTCTGTTATTGGTTTCTAATTTAATGCTATTGTGGTCCGAGAATGTATTCTGTATGATTTCAATAGAGACATTTATTTATTTAGACATTTATTTATATGTGTTTATGACCCAGTGTATAGTCTGTCCTGTGGAATATTCTTGAGCATTTGAAAATAATGTGTATTCTGCCACTATTGGGTGGAATATTCTACAGATCTTGATTAGATCACGTTGGTTCATTGATAATGTTATTTAAATCTATCATGTCCTCATGAAGTTTTTTCCTAAATATTTTATTGTTTACTGAGTGCTAGAATACTAAAATATAATTGTGAATTTGTCTATTTCTGATTTATTTTTATCATTTTTGGTATAATGTGATTTAAGACATATTTTCTAAGAACAAACACATTTAGGATTGTTATATGTTGATAATAAAATGATCCTTTTATCATTATGAACTATCCTTCTTTCTCCTTGGTAATATTTCTGAGTCTTATATTTCTGATATTAACACAGCCACCAATACTTCCATGGTTGGCATTATTTTCGTTTTTTTTTTTTTTACTTTAAGTTCTGGGATACATGTGCAGAATGTGCAGGTTTGTTACATAGTTATACATGTGCCATGTGGTTTGCTGCATCTATCAACCCATCATCTAGGTTTTAAGCCATGCATACATTCGGTATGTGTCCTAATGCTCTCCCTCCCCTTGCTCCCCATGCCCTGACAGACCCTGGTGTGAGGTGTTCCCCTCCCTGTGTCCATGTGTTCTAATTGTTGAACTCCCACTTACGAGTGAGAACGTGTGGTGTTTGGTTTTCTGTTCCTGTGTTAGTTTGCTGTGAAGGATGGCTTCCAGCTTCATCCATGTCCCCACAAACAACATGAACTCATTTTTTTATGGCTGCATAGCATTCCACGGTATACATGTATTTTCCCATTCTTTTACTTTTTACCTGTCTTTGCCTTCATATTTAAAGAGGGCATTATGTAGAGAGCATGAAGTTGGCCTGTAGATTTTTTTGTGCATTCTGACAATCTTTCCCTTTTCATTAGAATATTTAGGCCATGTGCATTTAATTCAATTATTAGTATGGTTGTTTTAAACTCTACCATCTTACAGTTTGTTTTCTTTTTGTCTTACCAGACTTTCCCTTTTTTATTTCTTTATTTTGAATTAATTATGCTTAGTGTTCTATTTTATCTTCTCCATTGGCCTCTTGGCTATACCTCTTTTTTTTTCAATAGTTATCAGGAGCTTAAAATATTCATCTTAATACATTCTACCTTCAAATAATAACACACCACTTAACATGTATAAGAAACTTACAACATTATACTTCCATTTCTCCCTTCTATTCTTTGTGCCATTGTCATCATATTTTACTTCTGGGTATGTTATAAACCCCCAAATAATTTTTACTTTAAACAATTCCTTTTTTAACTTAAAAAAAACTAGAGAACATGTTTTTATATTTATCTGAATTTTTACCATTTCATGCTTTTTTCATCGTAATATCTAATGAACACTCATAAAGAAACAAAATCCTTGCTCAAATAAGATATTTTTCTTCATAATCATCACTATTCTCAAACCTTTGAAAGCTCTGGTAATCATGATTTAAGTTCTCCCACATGGAGTGACTATGGCTGGTAAAAATTGCAATGAATTAGGGCATTTTAAAAATTTTATTTCTTGGCTCTTAGTTTATCATGTAGAAAAATCCTCCATGAAATATTGCTATAATTACAATACAGCCTTGGGAAGGAAGCTCAGGGGCTGTGAATGGAATCCTAATCTGCCTGAAATCTTGATCCAGACAGACCAAATCTCTTCCCTCAGAGACTTCAAACACTGCAGTCTTCAAACTACATCCAAGAAAATCTTCATCCAAGTAAAATTTCCCCCAAATATCCTTTCTCTACCCCACCCTATCCTGTAGTTAGGGAAAAACCCAGGACTGAATCAATATCCTCAGACCTTTCCGTTCAAGTGGGATCAGAACCTTTAGTAACCACATCGGCAACAGAGGTTGAAACCACACCTTCAAGAAATAGTATTCACATGTGACCTGGTCCTAGACTTCCAGTAAGAATGACTCAGAGTCTCCCCGCTCTGAAATACTGAAGTATTTATTGGTCTTAGGGTATTCTCGGGAAGGTGACAGTGAGGGGTTCTTCAAAGGAGAACAGAGGATAAAAGGCTCAATGAAAGGATAATCTCCATATTAGTGCTACCAAAGTGTCATTAATTTCTATTTGTTGGAAACTTTACTAAGGAATGACTGCTTTGAGGTAATGGATAAGGACAGAGCTTGAAGGGTCAGCAATTCAGTCAGCCACTGGAGTAGTTTTCACATGAAGTGAGAAGAAAAGCTGAGATGGAGTTTGTAGGGCAGCTGGAGTTCAGATCTCTCCTAAGTCCTCTTCTGTTCAGATATTTTGTCACCTGCAGCAACACACACAGTTATTGTCATTCCTGGGTTCAGTACTGTAAGCCCGGACCCATCTTCCCCACTCCCTTTGCACCCGAGCTTCCCATTTCTCTGCCCTGTTCAGGTCCCAGGGAGAAGGTGGTCATCCCTGCACATGCCCTGGTCCTCCAGGTGAAGAGCACATAGGAGCCAAGGAGTTCACGAAAGTCATTGAATTTCACCCTCAAACCCCAGCTGACTGTGAGGCCATCCCACATGCTTCATGTCTCCAAAATATACAGACAAGGGGAAGGGCCACATTACTGAGGGCAGAGAAGAAGCTTAACCCTGGAATGAGAATTGGAAGGGACAAATATCCAAACCATATCAATGACGGCAATGAACGAAGGATACTTGCTCACATTGTGTATACTGCTCTTTGAAAGGATTTCAAAAACCAAGGTAAATTTTCTAAAATGACCTCTGTTGAACATCTGACAGCAGTACTTCCTCCTTCCTGAATTCTTTAATTCCTTGGCTCATGTGACAGCATATTCTCCTAATTCTTCTGCTTCTCTGCTTCTCCATTTTTGTTAAATACTCCTCTTTGGATGTTTTGTTAATCATGTATCTTTGCATTAATTTTGCCTTTTCAAGATATTTCATTAAAATATGATTTATTACTGAGTTCTTTTGGTATCCCCCAAATTTTGCACCTAAGCCAGGTGCATCCCCTACATCACCCTAGTCCCAGCCCTCTTTTCCATTCTTCCTCTTAACATCTGACATTCTACATTCACTTCACTCTGTTACAAATCATTATAGATATAATTATAAATGTGTGTGAACTAAGAAAAATAAACAAGAATTTGTCCTACTGGATACTAACACACACTACAATGTCATAGTAATCAAAATACTAGGACACTGGCACAAGAAGAGACAAACAGAACAGTGGAACAAGATGGAACTCAGACACAGGCCCACCTATAATGGGAGCTTTCAGTATAGCAAAGGAGACACTACTAACCTATGGGGAAAAGGTGAACTATTTAGTAGTTGTGGGAACACACTGGCCCATTATATAAAGAAAAATAAAACATGATCCCCATCAAACACAAAGATGAATCCCAGATGAATTAAAGTAGTAAATGTGAAATTTAAAACTGTAGGAGATGTTTTAAGAGTATCTTTGATATCTCAGTATAGGGAAGACTTCTTTTAAAAAAGACACACAAACAAAAATACAGTTGATGGACTTCATTACAAAATATTAAGGATTTCTCTTCAATAAAGGAAACCAAGGAGACAGTTGCCAGAAGTCAGATTAGAGGAAAACATTTGCAATGCCTAAAACTGACAAGGGACTACTAGCAGGACTATATAAGGATCACCTGCAAATCAATAAGAAAATGATGGAAGCACATAGTACAAAAATGGACAATGAATGTGAACAGGCAATTTATAGAAAAGGAACCCCCAAGTGGCTAATCAGTCCTAATTATAGCCCCAATTATTAGTAATTAAAGAAATGCAAAATAAAACAGCATATTTCTTTATGCACATGAAATTGGCAAAAGTTAGAAAACTGGATAATGTCCAGTGTTGAAGTCCATTTAGGAGTTGCAGGACAATTAGAGTACTGACAAAGGAAGTTCAGATGAGTACAGCCATTCTGATGAGAAGATGAGCAGTGTTTAGTCAAATTAAGGAGCTGCATCTCCAGCAACCCTGCAACCCCTTTCTAGGATACATACATTCCAGGGATGCAGGTCAGGCCCACATGTATATGCAGTTCCATGTGAGATACAAGCATTGCTTGCAATAGTAGAGAACCAGGAATGATCCAGGTATCCCAGGAGCAATGTAGATATGTGGATTAATATGATTTGGATATTTGTCACTTCCAAGTCTCATGTTGAAAATTGATCCCCAGTGTTGCAGGTGGGGCCTGGTGGGAGGTATTTGAATCATGGAGGAGACCCTCATGAATGGCTTTGTCCCCTCTCCGGGTAATGAGTGAGTTCTCACTCTATTAGTGCACATGAAACCTGGTTGTTAAAAAGAGGCTGGCACCTCTTTCTATGTCTCTTTCTCCCTCTATGACCATGTGATGCACTGGCTCCACTTGCCTTCCACCATGAGTAAAAGCTTCCAGAATCCCCCAACAGAAGCAGATGCTAGTGCCATGTTTCGCGTACAGCCTGCAGATCTGTGAGCCATTTAAAGCTCTTTTCTTCGTAAATTAGGTAACTTCAGATATTCCTTTATAGCAATGCAAAATGGACTAATGCATGGACATATAAAGTAAAATACTATGGAAGATTTGGAAGAAACAAACTGGATGTACAAAATTAGATCTATAATTTAATGCCATTTTGGTTAATTAAAAATACATGTACACTGGACACTACTACATATTACAGAGGATCTATGCAAATAAAAGGAAACATCAAATTCATTAAAATGTTTACCTATGAGGTAGGGGTAAGAGGTTAGATATGGGAGTAAGGACTGGAGATAAAAGGGACCAAATAAATCAAGGGAGAGAGAGAGAGCTCGGAGGCACCAATGATGATCATATAATGAACTGAGAAGTTCTTAACCTTTTGTACCTGAGGTCCAGCATGAATAACAATAATAATAATGAATTAGATGTGGTCATCTGCATGGAAGTTCACTGTCTAATGCTAAGAGAATTCCCAAAACATATAAAAATATAAAGCATGGTGAGTGTTATGATAAATAGAAACCTGTAAGATCTCTGGAGGGGCATTTTTTGTGTGAACATTGCCATGGAATGAGTCCAAGTAGAGACAGTAAGTAGTTACAGGCACCCACCACACTGTGTTGTAATTATGTATAGAAATATAGATCTGACTCCATTATTTGGCAATGGACTCTGGAGAATTTGAACTTGGTCTTTTCCTTCACAAAATAGGGTGAATAGGACAGTGGATAAACAGTCTTGGATCCAGACTTTCTGGATTGGAAGCTAGCCCTACTACTTCATAGCTGTGGGAACTTGATCAAAGTGCTTAAAGTCTCTGTGTATGTAAAAAGATGTAAGTATCTCTCATGTGAAATAGTGAAAATAATAGTACCTACCTCAAAGACTATGTGTGAGAATAAAGTGAGTTAATAAATGTAAATCCTCAGAATAGCGCCTGACCATATTAACTACTCAGTTAGTTATCGGTATTGTTGTTGTTATGTGGCTGAATGCTTTTAACCCATTAGAAGATCAATGAACACTTATCAGATTGAATTTTTCCTCCCTTCCTTACATTCTACAAATCCTAGGGCCTCCTCTTTACATTCCCACCTTTACAGTATTTCACAGGGTCCCCTGGGCCCGGGGGTCATGGCCAGAACGCAGAGACTTTATGATGAGGACGGTGCCCACGATGATGCCGACTAGGCCCAGCACCAGGCCCAGGGCACAGAGCACAGTCTCCGTTGTCTCAGGCATCTGGATTGGCTCTTGGGCCTCTGGGGGAAGAATGAAGAGATAGGGTCAGGAGGTGCAGTGAGGGTGGTGATGGCCTGGGATGGTTGTGGGAATTGAAGGTTATGGACCAGTTAATTGGATGTTAGGACGAGGAGAGGACTGAGACCCAGCCAGTGCGGAAAGCTGGTGCAGAGGACACCAGGTCTTTGGAATAGAGGATGCCAGGAGATTATGGAGAGAAAAGCAGTTGCATACCCCAGTGCTTGAGGAGCGGCTGGTCCAAGCCCCAGTGCTCCACCCTGCAGTCATAGAAGTCCTCTGCTGAGGGCACAAAGGTCAGGTAATGGAACTTGTGGAAGCTGTAATCTGTTCTGGGCAGGAAGAGGCTCTCAGCGACACCCTCAGTGACCAGCTCCCCGTTGCACAGCCACGTGACGTTGAGCACTGGTGGGAAGAACTTGTCAATGTGGCAGATGAGGGTGTTGGGCTGGCCCAGCTCCACAGGCTCCTTGGGAAACACGGTCACCTCAGGGGGATCTGGAAGGAGACAGCACCAGGTTAGGCCCCTCTTCTGGGATGAATCACAAAGGCTCCACCTCTTAGGGGAGGGTGGTCCTCTACCTCAGCCTTAGATTTTATGGCAGCTCTGAATCACAGAGAGGGGTATCACACCACTGACCAGCCTCACTCTGCTCACCTTTCTCTCTCCTGAGAAGAGAGGATGCAAGCCCTTGCTGTAGTGGGATCAGCCCATGGCCACTAGGGGAAGAGGATCACACAGCAGGGGGCACTTAGGCTTCCTAGTCTGAGGGTGGCAGAGAGGCCCTCTCATCCCTTCCAGTTGGGCTACAGAGGAAGAGGCAAAGATAGGGCGTACCGTTGGTGGCCTGAGTGTGGTTGGAACGCTGGATCAAGGTATTCAAGTTGTTGTTCAATATAGCAATGTTAGCCAGCCCGCCCTGAGCCTCAAAGGAAAAGGCTTGGCCAAACTCCTCCAGATGCCAGACGGTCTCCTTCTTGTCCAGATCCACATAGAACATCTCATCTTCATCAAATTCAAACATAAACTCCCCTGTTGGTCTATGCGTCTGTACAAACGCGGCATAAGTTGACACATGGTCCGCTGCATAAAGACAGTAGAGAAAAACACGACAAAATGTCAGTTTGAATATGCAAGTGGTCAAAGCTAGAGAATGAATAAAGACTTATGAATATAAAAAGGAAGAAGGTAAGAGGTCAAAGGAAGGACATATGGGGAAGAAGAAGGAGCAACACCATAAAGGAAATAATACAGAGCAGATGAGCAGTTATAAAAAGAAAGGAGCAAAGAACAAAATGAAAAGTTTATCACTGATAAGTCAAGCTGCTTCCTGGTCTTTGAAAGTCTGGGCATCCTGACCCTACACAATAGTAATAGTAACAATGACAGCTAACATTTGTTGAGCACTTACTTGTGCCAGGCATCCTTCTAAATACTTTACATATTTCACTCGCTGAATTGTCACAATAACCCTATGAAGCAAATACATATCATACATTTTACAGGTAAGGAAATGCAGGGAAGTTACATATTAATAACTTGCTAAGGTCATACGGCTACTGGCGGAACTAGTAGAGAGGTTTTCTCTCCCATTAAGATCTTAATTTTTCTATGACACAGATGTAAAATTGTTTTTAGAGTCATGGGGGTGGGGGAATGGACATTTTCTTTTTCTTATTATAGAAAAGGTAGAAAAAAATACAAAATTGAGAGGAAGAAGAAAATATCCTTCAAATTTTAGGGCTCTTGACAGTTTTAAAGTTTCTGTCTTAGTTTATGAACATGAAACTGTAGAATGTATAGCTTTGTTGATAATATTTTTCATTTGGGGCATATAAATTCAAAAGTACAGTACAGTTATTTTGGCATTTGTTCCAAACTTTTGTTTCCTTTTTAAAAATATTTCAACATTTATTTTATGTTCAGGAGTACATGTGCAGGTTTGTTGTATAGGTAAACTCATGACTTGGGGGTTTAGTGTACAGATTATTTCATCACACAGGTACTAAGCATTCTAAACTTTTCTTACATTTATATTTTGATTTTTGTTTTAGAGGCCAACTAGAAATTATTGCTGAGTTTGGAACACCTGTAGGATTTAATTTATTTTGTTTCTTAGTCTTTATTAGTTTGTAAGAATTAGCAAAGATAAGAGGATAAAAGCAACTATTATCATGAAAGAAAACGATGAATGTGTATGTGAAAGTCTGGGTTTAGAATGATAAATGCATCAGAGTGAGAAGGAACTACGGGACTCTTCTGCTCTCACCTCCCAACTCACAGATTTCCCTGTGAGTTTTCAGCCCTGACATGTGGGGACCCAGTCTGTGCTTGGCCACTTACAGTGACAGGAGAATGACTCCTTGCCACTGTAATTGTAAGTGTCTAGAGGGTATGACCTGTGTCTTATTTTTCACTGAGAATGACTCCCTGACACAGTAAGTGGCCAAGCAAAGAGTGGTATTTGAAACTAAACAAAACAAATCCTATAGGTATTTCACTAGGAAACTTAGCTTGCTCCTCAGTTTAAAGGACTCAAAGGACTCATCAGGAAAAAGAGGGTAAAATAAAAAGACACAAAGTCCTCTAGCAGTTATTGGAAACTCATCTTCTTAATACATGAATGTCCCTTGTACTTTTTAAAATGCTTTTTAAAAAACACTTTCACAAGTTCTGCAGTCCAAAGATCAGCCAGCTATGGAACAGATTATTTTTCTTCAAAATATCATTTCCATTCAGACAAAAATATGTATTAAAAGACTACTATATGTCAAACACTGTTAGATGCTAAATACCCAAATAAAAATAATACATACGTCCTGTTCTGCAGACGCGTATAAGTCACAGAAGGAAACACAAGTGACAGGACAACAGCAGGTTCAGAAGGATAAGTGCAGATACGTAGGTATACACAAGATGCGACCAAACAGCACATCAGGGAAGGCTTCCTGGGGAACAGATGGCTTCAATGTAGGCATTCAGAAAACAGGGCAAAAGCCACTTCTCTCAGGGAAGACAGCCTGACCGGGAGAAGATACTGAGTTTACTGTGGGGCTATTGCACTTAGAAGACCTGAAAGTCATCTAAGGAGAAATAATACATAGATATTTGTGGATTATGGGTGGTCTCAGGAGAGGAATTTAGGCCATAGAACTGAGAGTCATTAGTGGCAGGTGCAGGTTAAATAAGATTTTCCAGGAAGAGTGCCAAAAATCAGAATTGCTGAGATCTCAGGGTATAATGAGAGAACATGATAGTTAAGAGGTGGTTTAAAAGATGATAAGGAGGATCCAGGTAAACAGGAGAAAAATAAGGACAGGGTAGTTCATCAGAAAGAAGTGGATTATAGTGCAAATGTTATTAGTAACTCAAGTCAGAGGCACTGAGAAGAACCCACTGAATTTGACCTTCTGTAGAGGTTCCTGATGGCCAAGATGAGAGGATCCTCAGGGATGTACCAGAGACAAGTCAGAAGCTTAGCTCCACGTGTGAGGACACAAAGAAAGTGTCTCTGGGACAGGATGCAGACTGAAGGCAAGGTTGTTTTTTATCAGTTGGTTTGCACTTATGTTTTTAAGGTAAATGACATGTTTAAATGTTAAGAGACTGGGCAGGGAAGCCCTGAAGAGACAGCTGAGCTCATTAGGAATTTCTACCAAGAATACTAAAAAGTATTTGCATCTATGAAGAGAAGCCTATTGTGGTGTTTATTATAACATAACATTAGAAATAACTCAGGTGACCGCGAACAGGGCAATAGATACTTCTGGTTCTACCCAGCCTGACCTCCTCTTTATTCTACACATCTTAAATAAAACTGTCTGAAGCCAGTGTGCATCTTGTACGTTATGGATTCTAACCTTCCCCATCACTAGATTTTGGAATGACAGCATCATGCACAGGCTTGATGTCATTCTCCCTGATTTCAGCTACAGGAAAAAGGAGCATTCACTACGGTCCATCTCTGGCTGAGTCCTTGCAGCTATCAAAAGTCTAGGCCTCCCTTGCAGTCCTGAATCTCTCAGAACCCGAATCACAAGGCTATCAAGACCATGCAACCCTGCTGTCTTGAGAGAGGAAAGCTTGTGACCACCCACAAAGACCCAGGAAGAGCCCTAGGGTCCTAGAAGAGAGGGAGGATACAGAAACACTCTTTGCACTTCGTCTCCTAATGCAGAGTCCATAGCTCGGAGTTCCTGTAAAGCAGCCACAAAAGATAGAGGCTGGGGATCCCAGAGAGATAGGAGGGCCCTGATAGTAGGTCACTGTGTGCAGGAATCTGGGGAAGGCAGTGTATGACCCTCAGAGCTGGGTCTGGACTTCAAACTTGGCTCGTTGATCTGCTGTGTAACCTTGGAAAACTTATTCATCTTTTTGAGCTTCAGTTTTTTCAAAATAATTTCTAAATAAAAGGAATAATTTCTAAATGAATGGAATATTATCTTCATTGAAGATTCCTGTGAGATGTAAATGGGGAAAGAAACTATGCAGGAGTCTCATAAATTCTGGCTGTTATTGCTGTTATTATTATGAGGGCCAGAGGGAACATAGACTATGAGGACCAGATAGATCAATGAGCCCCTAAAATCTGTGATCCCTGAAGCAGCAATTGATGTGAACCACCCCATCACTCACCCCGACGCTCCTGCGTCCTCCTGAGCACTCACCCTTGATGGCCCCAGCTCCTCGGAGACTCAGCAGGAAAGCCAAGGAGAGGGCTCTCAAGATCACAGCTCTGATATGGAACATTCTGTCTTCAGGGCGCATGTTGTGGGGTCTATAATTGATGACTGTGAGCACAGGAACAGTGATGAGGAACTGAGGCCGAGTGGAGGCAGATGAGACTGAAACTGTGGGCCTCTAGCACTGGAAATGGGTGGAGAGGAATCAGCATGGCTGGGATTCACCTATCAGAGAAATCATAGAGCTGACATTCTCTGTTGCTGGGTAAAGAGGACGCTGGAAGGTGCTGGGGAAGAGATGGGAGAATTTTAGGTACCAGCGTGGTCAAGAGAGCTCCAGTTCACAGTTCATTTTCAGAGTTAGAGAAAGAGATGTAAAAAGATAAGTTACACCTTCTTCTGACGGCAAATGTTTTCCATTATGTTCCTTCTCCCGAGCCCCACCCCCATCCCAGACAGTCAGATGATCTTTGATGTTTTTTGGTCACTATATTTTAAATCATGTTTTATGTTATGTTGTCAATATTTTACAAAAATATTCTGCTGATAATTAAGAATGAATGTGCTATCTAATAAAATATATAATTAATCTTTCTTTCAGGTCCACCTCCCTGAGATACCTCCTTTTTATTTAATCATTTCTGCAGAAGTGTTATAATTTCTATTTAGAGGTTTTAATTAACTTGAATGAAGTTGATCTTTAATTGTTTATCTATTCCTGGTTACCTTTGTTAGTGAAATTTCTAGATAATTTTTATTTTTCAGATTTCTTAGTATTTGATTTTTCCTGGTATTTAAACAGTGTAATAACATTTTTATCTTTAAATTACTAGTCTTGTTATTTCATTTTCATATAAGAATACCCAGGACAGCATTACCTGTGGTAACAATGTGCGCCCATATTTTGATCTTGTTTTTAAGAAGGGTTTCTCTAATGTTTTTCTGTTACAGGTAATGTTAATTTTTTATTTTATATTCTCTTTACCATATTTAAGAAATACTTTTCTAGTCTCATTTTAAATATTTCAATTTTGAGCTATTTATTTGATACTCATAGAGAAGGTCACAAAACATTTACTATTTAATGTAATGATGAAGTACATATATTACGTTAATATTTTATCTTATTTGTGGTAGCCTTACCTTGCATAAATAATAATTACTAACAGATTAGGACATGAGAGATTCTGTTATTAGTGCTTTGCATGCATTACCTCATTTAAACCTCATATTAAACCTGAGGGAGGTATTATTAATGTCTACTGTAAAAATAAATTACCTGAGACATCGAGGAAGTATTTGTCTAATTATCTATGGCAGGTAAATGACAAGGAGAAAAGTCCCACCCAGGCAGTTACTAAAAAAACTGAGTTTTTCTCCACAATCCTCTCCTGGCCCCTTAATCCTACTAGACACCTTCTACTACATAATTATTTTCTTCTCTTGCATTTTACATGCTAGCCTTCTATTTACATTTTAATATTGATTTAAAGAAATGATGCCAATTTGATTTTTTTTGAAATTAGAATTGGTGGTCCAACAGGATCACATTTATAAGTGTCTAAAGTAAGAAGTAATGTTCTTTGAAAGTTTGTAAAAATATTCACTCTAAACAAAATAGAATCAGATGCTTTGAAGGAGGTGGGGTCTTTGATGATTTTTTTTCACTTTCTTCCTTATTTACCAGTCAATTTATATTCTCTATGGACTTTATTTTTCCAAAGCAATTTCAGACCTATTGATCTCATTTGATCTTAAGAGCTTTGCTATAAGGCAGGTTATATCATCCCCATATTGAAGACAAGGAATCGAAGTCCAAGAGAGGCAGTGTCGTTAAAGCTGCATATTTACATGGTAGGGTAGGTGGTGTGTCCACGCTCCCAGTGTAAGGTCCCTAGACTGAGCCCTCCTGACCCTGATGACAGTCCTGTGGAAGAACCTGGTAACTCCTGCACATCGCAGGACTCACAGACCTCTGGGAGAAAGTAAATATGAATGGGTGCTAATCTTAAACACACCCTTGGACAAAGGCAAGACAGACAGACTCAGACCTCATTTGAGTTCTGAGATGGGTACTCTAATCCCTCTAAGTCATGCCACTGAATGACCTTTTACACACTAAGATAGCACTTTTTCCACAACAGACCATGTCCTGTGGGTGTGTGAGGTGTGGCAGAATTGGGGAAATGATAATCCCTGTAGATGGGCCAGCAGAATATTTGAGATCACCTTCAGAGCAAAGAAAACGCATAATCTCCCCAAACATCATGACTTATCTGACTGGTTAAAATGAGTATCACTGTCTTTCCTCCGTCATCTTAAGTGCATCACAGGCTTTATATTTTCAGACCTTTCATACTAACTTTCTGCCTAGTGAGCAATGACTCATACAAAGCTCAGTGTCCATTGGTTCTTTTCTCAGACTCTGTCCAATCCCAGGGTCACAGAAGACTACTTGGGTTCATGGTCTCTAATATTTCAAACAGGAGCTCCCTTTAGCGAGTCCTTCTTTTCCTGACTGCAGCTCTTTTCATTTTGCCATCCTTTTCCAGCTCCATGATGGTTCTGCAGGTTTCTGCGGCCCCCCGGACAGTGGCTCTGACGGCGTTACTGATGGTGCTGCTCACATCTGTGGTCCAGGGCAGGGCCACTCCAGGTAAGAGCCGAACTGCCATTCTTGGAGGGTCTGGCTCAGGGAACAATTCCTAGGGGACGTTATCTTTAAGGGATCAAATTCTGAGACAGGCTGCGGGGGCTCCTGCCCTAAGGCAGTGTCCTCTCTTCCCAGCTAGAGAAAGAGGTTCATCCCCTATAGGATAGCTTGCTACCCTACTGGCCTATTCTCTCTCCAAGGACATGGGTACAGTAAACAGAGAGAGGTGCCCAGTGGTCAGTGTCTTTGGGGAAAATGGGACCAAGAGGTCCTGGATAACCTTGGACAGACAAGGTTTGCAGAGAGAGAAGTTGGCAAGTGCAGGCTCCTGGGCGTGTTCATGTCTGCATCCAGCCTGGAGGGGACTCAGGCAGAGAGCCCTAAGCTGGAGTGTCCAGGCTCTGAGGATCACTGAGGATTCAGTGCTCACGAAGAATGCCTCTTATTCCCCAGGGTGGAGCAGGAGCCCACATCCCTTGGACAATTAAGGAGAGAAGGGAGGGAGGGGGATAGGTTTTAGCCCCTGAAGGCATTCTCATTAAAGGTACTTCTCCCAGCCTCCCCAGAACTTGGTTAGGGTACTAGAGTGGGTTGCGACTTGTAGGAAGAATGAGATGAGGTTGTGTGGGTGCATGACAGGGATTGAGTGTAGGTTATCAGACAGCCAAGGAAGCAGTAACCAAGTGAAAAATCTCTTCTTCCTGCTGCCTCCCTGTGGCTGGTGTAATATTATGGCATCTATGATCCATTGTTTTTCTCTCAGGATACTCTCAGGATATTTCTTTTTATATATATATATACTTTAAGTTCTAGGGTACATGTGCACAACGTGCAGGTTTGTTACATATGTATACATGTGCCATGTTGGTGTGCTGCACCCATTAACTCGTCATTTACATTAGGTATATTTCCTAATGCTATCCCTCCCCCCTCCCCCCACCCCACAACAGGCCCCGGTGTATGATGTTCCCCTTCCTGTGTCCATGTGTTCTCATTGTTCAGTTCCCACCTATGAGTGAGAACATGTGGTCTTTGGTTTTTTGTCCTTGCAATAGTTTGCTGTGAATGATGATTTCCAGCTTCCTCCATGTCCCTACAAAGGACATGAACTCATCCTTTTTTATGGCTGCACAGTATTCCATGGTGTATATGTGTGCATTTTCTTAATCCAGTCTATCACTGATGGACAGTTGGGTTGGTTCCAAGTCTTTGCTATTGTGAATAGTGCCGCAATAAACATATGTGTGCATGTGTCTTTATAGCAGCATGATTTATAATCCTTTGGGTATATATCCAGTAATGGGATGGCTGGGTCAAATGGTATTTCTAGTTCTAGATCTTTGAGGAATTGCCACACTGTCTTGAGATACCATCTCACACCAGTTAAAATGGCGATCATTAAAAAGTCAGGAAACAACAGGTGCTGGAGAGGATGTGGAGAAATAGGAACACTTTTACTCTGTTGGTGGGACTGTAAACTAGTTCAACCATTGTACTCTCAGGACATTTCTAGTCCAAATTTACACCAACACTCTGAGAGGAAGGACTGCAAAGTAGGTACCTTAGTTTTCCACTGACTTCCACTTTTCCTGCTTACACCCTTCCTCCTAGACCTCTCCACACCCCTCCTAGGACACACCTAGAAGGTACTGACATCATGTCACCTCCTCATCTTTCAGGGTAGCAAGGTTGGAATCTCCTGAATACAGCCCCTCAAGCCCTAAAACCTCTTATCTATTACCTTGGGTTCATTGTCCAGGAAGGGGAGGAGAACTTGAACTTGTAGTCACAGAAGGGTGCTGAGAACTAACCAGCAGGACGGCTCAGCCCTGGGAACTGCAGAGGGGTGAGGCTGGGGAGAGAGGAGGCTGGAGCAGCACTGGTGACACTGAACAGTGTCAGGAGGAAGTGACGGATGCAGCGCCCCCATCCCATAGGCAGAGCTGTCATGTGGGATGAGGGACAGTGTTGGGAGCCACCAAGGAAACCCAGAGGTGGGGGAGCAGAGAGCAGAAGGGGGCATGTGATGCTGGGCAGTGAAAGGGAGGACGGGCAAAGGCTGGGTTGAGGTTTGTAGGGGGAATGAGATGAGGCAGTGGAGCCATGTGACAGGGACTGAGGGTAGATTACTGGAGCTCCCTGCGTAGAATGAATGTTCAATCAAAACCTGCTGGAGGGAGAGCTGGAGCCATAGGGGAGTGGGTAAAGTGGGCAGGGCTGATTCCACAATTCCCTGCATGCTCCCCCAACTCCACACACATCCCCAACCTCAAACAGGGCACAAGACCAAAGGGCTGAGGAGCCAGGCTATAGCTTAAAGAGGCTGGGGGAGAAAAGCTTGGCTGAGACAACCCATAGGGAGCTAGAGGTTTTTAATATATCCTATTCTGAATAAGAGACGAATTCATTCAGATCAGTGGTTTCAAACCGTGCTCTGGGCAACTCAATTGCTAAGGGTTCCACAAACAGGATAAAGTTTCTTATATACAAAAAAAAATGAAGGTTTCAAATTACACCATAAAACCCCTCATTGCTTATGTCTACTTGGCAGGTAAAATTCCATTTCAAAAGTTAAATGTACTTAAAAAATTACCTAAGACTGGGTAAATTAAAAAAATTAAATGTTGCAAAGAAAAAATTCAAAATTCTTATTCTTGAATGAAAAACGTTCTCTTACTGGTGATTGAGGAGGAGAAACAAAGACTAACAAATGAAAATGGGAGAATCCACACTCAGAGTGGGGCAATTGAACAGGCAGGGGCGGATGGATGGCAGAGGAGGAGGAATCTGGACTCAAGGAGCTGGGGGGCTCTGGGCCTGGAATTTTAGGGTCTGGGGCCCAAGGCACCAGGAGAAGAGGCAGGTCAGGATATCTGAGTCAAGACCTGGGATCTTGCCTTAGCAATGACACTGGAGACTAAAGGTGGACTCCATGGTGCCCTTGAGCCCAGCCCTACCCCATCTCCACTATCCTCTGCCACCAGCTGTGCAACTTCTGCTAGGGGTGAGGTTAATAAACTGGAGAAGTTAATTTGTGGAGCATGAAACAGATGAGCAGAACAATCACAGCACCTTAATTTCCCCAGTGTGCCCAAGAACAGAGCAGGCCTGAAGATACTCAAACAGAAACAAACATGTGCCGTGTCACTGATAATTCTGTGTAGACACACACCTGCCAGACACTGCTCATGGCACTCCCTAGGAAGAACAGCATGTGGGAAAGGCTGCCAAAATTGTTCATGTAAAAATTACATCAATGCTGTCTTCCTCGGTGCTGCCTATGCAGCTGGCAGCCATCTCTTCCTCCACATCATGGCCTCCCTCAGACTCCTCATGAAGGATAAGATCCTCAAAAAGAGGACCAACAAGTTCATGAGGCACCAATCAGACTGAAATGTCAAAATTAAGCATAACTGGCGGAAACCCAGAGGTCTTAACAGTAGGGTTCGTAGAAGGTCCAAGGGCCAGATCTTGATGCCCAACATTGCTTATGGGAGCAACAACAACAACAAAAAAAACATGCTGCCCAGTGGCTTCCAGAAGTTTCTGGTCCACAGCCTCAAGGAGCTGAAAGTGCTGCTGATGTGCAACAAATCTTACTGTGCTGAGATCGCTCACAAAATTTCCTCCAGAACTGCAAAGTCATCATGGAAAGAGTCACCCAGCCGGCCATCAGAGTCACCAACCCCAGTACCAGGGTGCACAGCTAAGAAAATGAGTAGAAAGTTCATGTCCACGTTTTGTGTGTAAATAAAACCATAAAAACTGCCAAAAAAAATTACATCAATGCCTCTAAACCCAAAGGACTCTACCCCCACAGGTCCCTGGTTGTTGTGGTGATTTTCATTGTGTAAAATACTTTCCACATCTTTTGACACCAAGTCTTTCTGCAGCCATGTTTGAAAATTAACTTTCAGGCTACAGAGTCTTTCTTATACCAAAGTTGAAGAAAGTTTTAAGAAATATATTTCTACATCTCCTACATGCAAAACAACAGGAGCAAGTTGAGGAATTCTCAAGAAACTGGTCGAGAAGAGAGAGCGCTTAGCTATGGAAAAGAGAAAGAAGGAAGGGAGGGCTTCCTGGAGGAGGTGGCATTTGAACCAGGACTGACATCAGGATGGAAATGTCAGTCAGGGAGTTAAGTAGGGGGAGCAGCTCCGCCCTCCACGTCCCCAGCTCCTCCCGCCCCTGTTTTTTCTCCCAGTGACCCCACGTGAAACGTCTCCGCCTCCTCCAGCCACCAGCAGAAGGGACTGCCTTCCCCTCAGTGCTCGCCCCTCCCTAGTGATCACTCAGTGCCCCTGAGCTCATTCTTTTCAGTAAATTCTCTCTCTGCGTGGTGAGAAAACAGGCCTGGAGAGGCTCTGCGACCCGCTTAGGACCACAGAACTCGGTACTAGGAAAACTCCTATTTTAAAATCCAGCCCTGGGTGGGAAGATTTGGGAAGAATCGTTAATATTGAGAGAGAGAGGGAGAAAGAGGATTAGATGAGAGTGGCGCCTCCGCTCATGTCCGCCCCCTCCCCGCAGAGAATTACCTTTTCCAGGGACGGCAGGAATGCTACGCGTTTAATGGGACACAGCGCTTCCTGGAGAGATACATCTACAACCGGGAGGAGTTCGCGCGCTTCGACAGCGACGTGGGGGAGTTCCGGGCGGTGACGGAGCTGGGGCGGCCTGCTGCGGAGTACTGGAACAGCCAGAAGGACATCCTGGAGGAGAAGCGGGCAGTGCCGGACAGGATGTGCAGACACAACTACGAGCTGGGCGGGCCCATGACCCTGCAGCGCCGAGGTGAGTGAGGGCTTTGGGCCGGCGGTCCCAGGGCAGCCCCGCGGGCCCGTGCCCAGGGCGCAGGAGCAGCCGGGTTGGCCTAAGGGACCTTAGTGCCGGGCGGAAAGGGGACTTTGGGTTGGGGATTCATGGGGGGAGCCCATCTGGAGCTTGTCAGGGGAGCGAGCGCGGGGACCTGGACTGGGCTGAGCATGGAGTGAGGAGGACGAGAGCAGAGAGACCCCCGGGACTTCATCAGGCCTGGCAGCTGACTGCATGTGGGGTGAAAAAAGGAAGCCACAGGACAGCGCACAAGGGTATGGTGTGGAGATGGAGGTGGAGATGGCACAGCAGGCCACACAGAGAAGAAACCTACAGGGAGGTAGCTGGGTTTGAGGTGCTTGAGGGGCAGATGGGTGGTCTGATGGGCAGGTAGACAGAAGGGTCTGCAGCCGGGGAGGAGACTGAGATACATGAGACCA
Source organism: Homo sapiens (assembly GCF_000001405.40). Taxonomy (NCBI): domain Eukaryota; kingdom Metazoa; phylum Chordata; class Mammalia; order Primates; family Hominidae; genus Homo; species Homo sapiens. The sequence continues at coordinate 4,530,380 of NT_167249.2, forward strand.
TCCAGGGAGAGGGGACCCAGGGGGAAGAGCAAAGGACCGGATCCTGGGAACTGGACAGTTGTGATTTGGCCAAGACAGAAAAGCCTGTGAAAGAGACCAAAAAAACCCAAGTGCAGTGTGAGGAGAGGCCCGCAGAGAAGAGTCTTGGAAGCTGAGGGGAGGTGACCTCAGCAGCACAGTGGACAGCGGTGCCAGTGACTTGGGAAGGTCAGAAAACAGAAGATGGAAAGTGGGTTTGGAAACCAGGGAGACCTGGGGAGAGCAGGTTGGCCGCAGCGGCAGGAGCTGGAATGGGAGGGGGTGCATGAGGCTGAGTGTGGCGCATCCTCCTCGGGGCTGAGATGGATTTTACTTGTCTTGGGTTCCCCACGGCTGTCACAGGGCAGTGTCTCAGTTCATTCGTCTTTTTCCTTCAGGAAGTCTGGGTGTAAAGGGATGGAGAGAGGTGAGGTGTGTGCAGTAAGAGGATTTCTCAAGGATGGGACAGGAAGGCCTTGGAGCTTTGGCTTCCTCCTGTGAACTTGTGGGGTGGGGAGCCTGGTGCACCAACCTGAGGGACTTGAGGGAGTAGTATCAGGATGTGGGATTGAGCCCTGGACCTTTTTTCTAGAAAGAGGAAAAAAATGAAGGGAGGAGGAGGAGGAAGCTGGGGAGATCACACCTTTGATTTTCTTGTTCCTGGAAAGTGAAAGGAAGTTCACCTGCTATGAGTGAGAAGGTGGACACACTGGGTGGGGATGAGGTGAGTGACATGAGCTTAGGAAAGTTGCTGAGGTAATTGGTTGAGAGAGGTGTTCAAATAAAAATAACGCAATTGGCAAAAACTGTTACTAAGACTTTGTAGAGGCACCAATCAGTGACATGGCAGCATTTTCTTTCACAGTAATCAACTGCCAGATTGCAGACAGCCCTGATGCCAGCCTAAGGAGTGTGGGTTTCTCCTCCAGGCCCGCAGGTCCCCAACCTCACTCCTCTGAAGACTCTTCTGGAGATCCTCTGTGATGCACAGATCTCCAGACTCAGTGCCCCCAGACTCAGATTCCCTGGGTGGGGAGGTCTGGGGATCTCTGCTTGTAATCAGCTCCCTAGAGGTTCCCATGTAGCCAGATAAGTATTGTCAGAACACTGAAGATTTTTGAAAAATGAAAAAGAGAAGGTTGGAGATGTGTCTTCAGAAGACTACTAAGGGTGCTGGCTAGAGGAGGGACCAGAGGCAGGGAGATGAGGTAGGAAACTGCTATTATTTGTCAGGGAAATTGCAATCAAGGCATGAGTTAGAACAGGGAAAACACAGAGGCAAGGGAGAGGTGGAAGGGGGAGGAAAGAAGTAGTGACAATTCCAGGGTGGATGTCCACCCAAATCTAGAAGTAATTGAGCAAATGTTTTCTGGGCATTAGAGAAGGCAACTAGAACAAACAGGAATCCTTGCCTTGGTGAAATGTATTTGAACTGGGTCAGAAATGAGGCCATTGGGTATCAGGCCTTAACTCCAGCGCACCCTGGAGGTCACTGATGTGGCTCCAGGCTGACCTGCTCCTGTCAAAGAATATTGAGCAAGATGCCTCTCGTGGAATGTTCTGGGACCTTAAAACAGATACCCAAGTATTCCCCCTGATTTCATGGTTCCCAGAAGCTCTATGGGGAAGAAATTGTAGGTAATTCACAACTGAGATTTAGACATAAGTTGAATAGTGTAATGGACATTGAGTTAACCGAGGTAATGAAGTAGTGAGACACAGGTGCCCCTGAAATAAACTCACATTGAGGGAAGAGGCTGACAATGTGGATCAGTCTGAAAACAAGGCAAAAATACAATAGGGAGTAAGGGTTGTGTGTCAGTTCAAGACTGTACTTTTACCTGGCCCAGCGCCATGTTAGGGTATTTGTGTTCTCCAGGAAGTAGAAAGGAAAGAACTGAGTGATTAGGGACCTAGAAGACTAATTTGAGACATTCCTCTTGATGAGCTGTTCTCTAGGGTAGTCCTCTGAAAGAGCTGTTCTCTAGTGGATCTCCCTGAATGAACTGTTCTCTAGGAGCACTTGACCCTTTTCTGTGTTTGTTTTTTGTTTTGTGTTTGTGTTTGTTTTTGAGACAGGTTCTCACTTTGTCTCCCAGGCTGGAGTGCTGTGGCACCATCATGGCTCACTGCAGCCTCAACCTCCTGGGCTCAAGTGATCCTCCTGCCTCAGCCTCCCATGTAGCTAGAACTACAGATACACGTACCACCATGTCTGGCTAATTTATTTTTCTTTTTAGAGATGGGTTCTCACTATGTTGCCCAGGCCGGTCTCAAAACCCTGGGCTCAAGTGATCCTCATGCCTCAACCTCCCAAAGTGCTAAGATTATAGGCATGACCACCATGCCTGGCCTTTTCTGCTTTCTGAGGAGGAAAAAGGTACTGGTGGCAGAGATCCAAAAGAAAAGTTGCCAGTGGCAGTGTGGAAATTCACCTGAGAACAACAGGACAAGCTGGGGCACAAATGCAAAGATGCAGAGGGAGGCAACACCTGGTCATCTGTGAGACCTTCATGGGACCTGAAGACGCAGCACAGAGGAGGAACTTGAAAAAGGACGGGATTTCTACTACTCAAGCATGTAGGAGCTCAGGATATTCTGTAAATATGAAGATTTTGAGTTTTTGTAGGTGAGGTAAAAAAATACATAGGTTTTTTACAGAATAAGACATGTAAAGCTCTCTTCATTTTCTTTGTATTTTCATGAAGTTATTAGATTCACAGGCCACCATAATGCCATTGTCTGTATATCTTAATTTCAAGATATTATTTGAGTAAATTTTGCTTCCTTTGTATCAAGATAGAACTTTGAAAAGGTAGGTAATTTCACAGTTGATCAAATATTCTTTGCCCAAATTACTTTTGGTTAAAATTTCTCCTAAATGTGCTACAGAGTGCAAACTCTGTCTCCCTGCCATTCCGCTATATACTTACTAACTATTATTTTATTCAAGATCATGCATGCTCTACTTGAAGGTCTATTTCTATCTTTTCAATGCTACCCTTACCCACTAGCCTAATCACATTATTCCTATTTTCAACATCTAGGAATCAATTACATAGTGAACATGCCTAAGAAATAATAATCTGGGCAGATGCAGTGGCTCAGGCCCGTAATCCCAGCCCTTTGAGAGGCCGAGCGGGTGGATCACTTGAGGTCAGGCGTTGGTCAAGTGCTCCTAGAGAACCAGGCTGACCAACATGGAGAAACCTTGTCTCTACTAATAATACAAAAATTAGCCAGGTGAAGTGGCAGGCACCTATAATCCCAGCTATTCGGGAGGCTGAGGAAGGAGAATTGGTTGAAGCCCGGAGGTGGAGGTTGCAGTGAGCCAATATTGCGCCACTGCATTCCAGACTTGGCAACAGAGTGACACTCCATCTCAACAAAAAGAAAGAATGAAAGAAAGAAAGAGCGAGATTATGTCTCAAAAAAAAGGAAGGAAGGAAGGAAGGAAGGAAGGAAGGAAGGAAGGAAGGAAGGAAAGAAGGACAATCTCAAATTCTATTTCATTATTTTTCTTCCACGCTCCTAGTCCAGCCTAGGGTGAATGTTTCCCCCTCCAAGAAGGGGCCCTTGCAGCACCACAACCTGCTTGTCTGCCACGTGACGGATTTCTACCCAGGCAGCATTCAAGTCCGATGGTTCCTGAATGGACAGGAGGAAACAGCTGGGGTCGTGTCCACCAACCTGATCCGTAATGGAGACTGGACCTTCCAGATCCTGGTGATGCTGGAAATGACCCCCCAGCAGGGAGATGTCTACACCTGCCAAGTGGAGCACACCAGCCTGGATAGTCCTGTCACCGTGGAGTGGAGTGAGTCTCTGATGACCCTCTAGACCCCACCTCTGAAGAGCAGGGGACTCTCTGGCTCTGGGGTCCACTCATCTTATCTTCTGCATCTATACCCTGGGGCCATGTCCAAACCCCATCTTTCTTCTATACCAGCTCCTGAGCATAGTTTGAAGCCAGGGAAATGGAGACTTCCTGACCTTGGCTTAGGGGTTCCTGAAGATTCATAGTTCTCCCCCTTGTCAGAGAATCTAGGGACACTGACTGGTCTCGAAACCCTCACACTTAGGAACTGACCTCACACATAGGAACAGTTCTCTTCCTTCAGCATTTTAGCCTCTTCTCAGGCATTTTGAGAGGCAACTTCCAGAATCAGCATTTGCCACCTTGTTGAGGTCACACCCCTGTTCCAGATATGAGGGTGGCTCTTTCTGAATTTCCTCTTAGCAAGCTTTTTCCGCTGCACTGTCCTCATCCCGATATGCTGCATCAGGCTCCAGAATCTCAGACAGGACATGAGTAGGGATGCAGCTGGTGGAGGTGACACTAAACCTGGGTCTGTCCTTCCCAGAGGCACAGTCTGATTCTGCCCGGAGTAAGACATTGACGGGAGCTGGGGGCTTCGTGCTGGGGCTCATCATCTGTGGAGTGGGCATCTTCATGCACAGGAGGAGCAAGAAAGGTGAGAAAGCCTGCAGGGTGAGCGGGACTTACCTTCCCCTGGCATATTCACACTTATTCCACGATGAGGGGTTTGACAGAAAAGAAATGTCAGAAAGCTCTAGAGGCCACTGATATCAGATAATCGGGGAACAAACATGACCTATAGCGAGAGAGGGATCCCAGGCTGGGATCTTAATGCAGCCAGATGCATGAGGTCCCAAGTACTCAGGCTCCTGCGGAGCGTCCATTGAGTGATGGGCAATGGAATTTGGTGGGATGGAAATGTTTCTCTAATTATCTGAGGTGGTTTCAATGGCTGATTATATAACCTTTCGTCTTTCATTTCAGTTCAACGAGGATCTGCATAAACAGGTAATATTCCTGCTTTGATTTCCTTGTGGGGTGGGTTGCAGGAGGATATGAGTCCTTTCTGTGCATTGTAACACTGAGGCTCCTCCAGGAAGGGAATCTCAGGCATGAACCCCTCTTTCAATGTCAGCCTTCAGGCAAGTGGGGAAAGAGCATTGCTTGGCTCCATTGCTGAAGGAAGCAGAGATCAACTCTGTTATTTATCAGCCTGAGACGCATCCTCTCACCATAATTTTTCTCTCCTGGACTTACAGGAAGGAGGCTGGCAACCTGGGATAACTTGTCTTTTACCCCCACAGGGTTCCTGAGCTCACTGAAAAGACTATTGTGCCTTAGGAAAAGCATTTGCTGTGTTTCGTTAGCATCTGGCTCCAGGACAGACCTTCAACTTCCAAATTGGATACTGCTGCCAAGAAGTTGCTCTGAAGTCAGTTTCTATCATTCTGCTCTTTGATTCAAAGCACTGTTTCTCTCACTGGGCCTCCAACCATGTTCCCTTCTTCTTAGCACCACAAATAATCAAAACCCAACATGACTGTTTGTTTTCCTTTAAAAATATGCACCAAATCATCTCTCATCACTTTTCTCTGAGGGTTTTAGTAGACAGTAGGAGTTAATAAAGAAGTTCATTTTGGTTTAAACATAGGAAAGAAGAGAACCATGAAAATGGGGATATGTTAACTATTGTATAATGGGGCCTGTTACACATGACACTCTTCTGAATTGACTGTATTTCAGTGAGCTGCCCCCAAATCAAGTTTAGTGCCCTCATCCATTTATGTCTCAGACCACTATTCTTAACTATTCAATGGTGAGCAGACTGCAAATCTGCCTGATAGGACCCATATTCCCACAGCACTAATTCAACATATACCTTACTGAGAGCATGTTTTATCATTACCATTAAGAAGTTAAATGAACATCAGAATTTAAAATCATAAATATAATCTAATACACTTTAACCATTTTCTTTGTGTGCCATCACAAATACTCCTTAACCAAATACGGCTTGGACTTTTGAATGCATCCAATAGACGTCATTTGTCGTCTAAGTCTGCATTCATCCACCAGCCTAGGCCTCCTGTCTTAATTTTCATACAGACAGAAATGACTCCCCACTGGGGAAAGAGCAAAGCAATACATGTAGCACTCTTTTTCAAACACTGGTCTTTTTTTTTTTCTTAACAATCCAACATTGTTATGTGTTTTGCGTCTCATATTGACACCTTTTGGTCAAGGTAGAGGACATGTTTGTTGTAAGCTTTCTTTTTCGTGTAGAGGATGGATTCTTCACTCCTGATACACACAATCAGTGCACAGCAGCTCTCTTATACATCCAGTTGATGCCTTCAGTCTCCCTGGCTTCTTACAAGCATCTTCTGGGCCTTGTGTGTCCCTGGGCACCTGTCCCTGGTCAATTCCCGAAAGCTACTGTGCTCCTCTTGCCCATCTCCCCTTGCAAATAATATCTTCCATCGGGGGACCGGCTTCCTCCAATTTCAGGAGAGGTGGGGCTGAAGGCACAGACTTGGGCGTCACTGGCACAGATATAAGTAAATACAGCTGGAGTCTGCAGAGAGGCTGGACTGAGTCAGGGAGTCAGGAAAGAGAAGCCACACACAAGGACAACCAATCATGTTTCTCATAATCTTCTTAACCTAGGGAATAGGACACAATCATTTTTTCTTTTTAAAACATCTTTATCCCTGATCAGCCTCATTTCCTCAAAAACTATAAAGGAAAATGCTGCTGACTTGTTTTTGCGTAGTAATTTCAGCTGTCACATAATAAGCTAAGGAAGACAGTATATAGTAAATAAGGACCCTTTATCTGTCTTATTTTCCCTTTTGGCTTCACAGGAAACTTGTGAGAAACCTATGCAGCATAAAATTAATATGATTTCAATCCAGGGATTCAACGATGGAAGGAGGTCATGAGAATAGCAGAAAGTCTTCAAATCGAGATCATTATGAAATCCTCAGACCCAGAGCACATAAATCCTACCCTCAGAGTCACTGAGCAGTTAACATTACAAATTACAAACCATATCCAGTCAGAGTCATTCTCTTTCCTGCTTGTCTCCTGTACTCATGTTACAGGTTAGGGCAGTACCCCGAGTGGAGTGAACAATCTCTGGACTAACACTTGTCAGGATCAGAAGCTGAGGTATCTGCACCCACATTACAGGAACAGGATATGTGCTCCTAGGGAACTGAGGGTGTCAGGAGATGAGGAATGTCCCTGGAGTCACAGAAAGAAGGTATCAGATGTGTCTCACTCTGACATATGCAGGTGTTTATGAAACTCTGGGATTTCTAAGGAAGGATGCAGTGCAGAGACAGGTCCCAGAGGAGACAAGAGCTGAGAGACCATCCAAACTGGGACCACCTTGTCACTAGACTTCAAATTTTCAATATTGATAGAGTGTTTTCTAAGAGTCAGGCCCTTTGCTGAGTGCTATGTGCAGCAGGATCAAAGGCAGCCAGGAGGTAGAGGAGTCTTGAGGTACATCAGTCATTGGAGTTGAAGAGCAGAGATTCAAAGGAAAGTTGGAACTGGAGCTTTAAAGGAGATGTGAAGTGGGTGACTCAACCTCTGACTCAGAAAAATTGATACCTGCAGAAGAAAAAACCCGGCGGGCTTAGGACTCCCAGCTGAGTGTTGTATCCTCCATCCCTTTCCACCTGGTCCCTTCATTTTCTACCCCTCACAGTTCCCTAACGAGAAGGTGGTCCACCCAACAGACAACACTGCCTCAGATGGTTATCAAGGGGTACCCTAAGAAGAAATCATCTCACCCTCTCTTTGTCCCCATTTGTCAAGTAGCAGTGAGGCCGAGCCAGGGGATGGTGAAAGTGGAAGGAGGTGGGAGTTGGGCATCGGGTGTGAAGATGCTCTTGAAAGGGGTTTTAATAACCACTTGCTACCAGGCCAGTGAACACTTACCATAGTTGATGCCTTTTGAGCATGTTGCATTGTAAACTGTCCCTGAAATTACTGTGCACTTGGCTTATGGGATGAAACATCCTCCTAGTTCTTTTGTCTCTCAGCTTCTCTGAAGTCTCATTGAGCACCTTCTCTTCAATTTCTTTTACACAGTAAGAATAGGATCAGCTGTGCTAAACTAACAAATACCCAGATATCCAGGTTTGGCTCATGTTACACGTCCAAAGTAAGTCATGCAGGAAGCTCTGCTCATCATCGTACTCAGGAAGTCAGGCTGACAGTCTTTCTCCTGCACATCTGCTCCCAGAACCTCCCCAGCAGAATGAAGGGAACCTAAGAATTTATTCACTGGCTTTTAATGATCCCTCCTAGAAAGAACACACTTCTCGCATTTCATTTTCCAATGTAAATCATATGGCTGCAACTAACTTCAAATAAGTGGGAATACTTGAAGGTGGAAAACATTTAAGAAGTACACACTAAATAAATAATAAAATACTTCTACAAGAGATATTTATGGAGGACCTACTGTGTACCAGGAGCAATGCTAGGCATTATGGATATCAGCAGCCTTTGGCTCCTGAAAAGCTTACACACTACCTCCTGGCCTAAGGAGGGGCACAGGGATGCTGGCAACAGTCTATTTCTTCACCCGGGTACTAGTTACATGGGTGCTTGCGGTGATAACCATTCAACGTACATTCTATTGGTTTGTGTGTTTCTTCCAAATGTCCCCTAGTTCACAATAGAAAGGGCTTAAATAGAGAAGTAAAGGAGAATTTGGGAATTTGAAGCAAAAGCAAGAAGCCACTGAATCAAGCACAAATATTGAGCTTTGATAAAGATTGGAATAAGAAACATAATAAATGAGACAAGAAATAGGACTTTTGCAACTGAAGTGTAATTAATAAACAAAAAGCCAAACTGAGAAACTGTCCCAAGGACAATATGATCGAGTAAACAATAGAAAATGTAAAGGACAAGTGAAGAGAAATGAAGGATAGAAACAGACATCTGACATCTTAATAATTAGACGTCTAGAAAGTCAGGGAAATAGTGGAGGAAGAGGAAATAACTGAAAACATAATAGATGTTTAGTCTTTATAGAAAGATGAAATAAGTTCATTCAAAATGCTGCATAGAATGTCAGACTGTTAAACAATTTTGTTAGAGTAAAATGACTGTAAACAAATGAGCTAATTATGTGAATTAAGAGGATGGAAAAGCAGAAAAACAGCAAAAAGAAAATACATGTAAATAATAAGGACAAAAGCTGAATTCAATGAAATATAAAAATAGAGAAGATAAAATCAAATTTTGAGGCAATGAAAACTTTAATGAGACCTCTGGCAAGACTCCTAAGGAAAATACAGGAGATTCAGAACGAAAAGGGTAAATGACATTTATACACATTTTAAAATGCAAAATCTTACGACCAACTCTATACATATAAATTTGAAAATTTAGATAAAACGGATACGTTTCTAGAAAGATATAAAGGTCAAAACTACAGGAAGAAATAGAAAACTAAAATAGAGTAGAGAATATCAAAGAAATTGTCATGGGAAGCAAAGAATCGCCTTCCAAAGGGCCCTGTCCTGATCTTATTGCAGATGAGGGTGTCCTCCCACATTTCCAGGAGCAGATCATGCCTCTTACACGTGTGATTCTAGAACATAGAATGGAACAGAATTTTTGAGATCATTTTATGAGGTTGGTTCATTTATATTTCCAGAGCCAGCTAAGAATAGTACAGGAGAACAGGATTGTGGACTAATTTTAGCCATGTCACTGAATCCAACAGTACATTATAAAAACAATACGTTTTGACCAATTTTAGATTTATTCTAGGAATGCAATGATTCTTCAGTGTCAGAAAATATATAATGTGGTTAACACATTAGTGGACTCCGCAAAATTCATATTAATTTAAACTGAATTCAGCTCAAGACATAGACAGAATTTAATCAATTTCATGACATGTTAAAGGTAGTGAACCAAAAATCTATAGCATATATATTTCAAAGAAATGAGGTGGATTGCCTTTGAGATTGTGCAAAAGATAGGATGTCCTTCGTTGCTGGAAATGTTTAACATAGCATTGGAAGTTCTGAACATCACTCTGCGGGCAGAAGAAAATTAAGGCTGTGTAAAATGTAGGAAGACAGATAGTGACTGCAGATGAAATAATCTAAATACTGGACAAGACTGCAGCCACTGCAGGCCCAAAGCCTGGGTTTAAATCCAAGCTTTGCACTTTGAAGCTGTGTGGTCTTCACCTCTCCCGGTGTCTGATTCCTGCTCTGTAACATGAAATAAATAAGAACCAACCTCCAGATGTAAATAAGTGAACACATGAGAAGCACTTAGAATAGTGCCTAGAACATAGTAAGCAACTCAATGAATGTCATTTCTCATTACATTTGTTAATGTTTTTATCCAGCCCAATGGCAGTAAAACATCAATGCTCAAAGAGCCCCTGGTGAAGTGTTTCTCTTTCCCACTCTTCACCCCTAACTTGTTACCTCGTCTTTTCCACTCTGTCCCTAATACACCTATAGGATGACTCATAGGAGCCCCTGGACCCGGGGATGCTGTCAGATCGCTTGGTCTTTGAGACAATGGTGCCATTAAGGACCCCCGCCAGGCCCACCAGCAGGCCGAGGGCACAGACCAGCATCTCCATGGTCTCAGGCACCTGGATTAGTTCATGGACCTCTGGGGCACCAAGGGAAGACAGAGTTATAAGGTACAGAGAGCAGGGGCTGGCCTTGGATGTGGGAGGTGTTGGGTATTCGAAACCATGAGATGGTGAAATTTGGATAAAGTGACCATAAAACATGGGATTGAGGAAGGCAGGTGCTGAGGGGCGATGGGCCCAGGAAATAAAGGTGGTGCCAAGGCCGTGAGGGCAGAGGGAGGGCGCTCCATACCCCAGTGCCTGAGGAGAGGCTGGTGCAGGCCCCAGTGCTCCCCCTGGAGGTCACAGGTGTCCTCGGCCATGGGAACGAGGGTCAGATAGTGGAACCTGTGTAATCTGAGTTTCTTGCTGGGCAGGAAGATGGTCTCTGCAATACCCTCAATGACTGGCTCCCCATTGCGCAGCCACGTGATGTTCAGCACTGGTGGGAAGAACTTGTCAACATGGCAGACGAGGGTGTTGGGCTGGCCCAGATCCACAGGCTCCTTGGGAAAGACGCTTACCTCGGTGGGGGCTCCAAAAGGGGATAGAACCCAAGGAGCCTACTGCCATTGGCTGATTCTTAAAGGTTCCACCACCCCAAGTCCTATATTCACCAGATTAGGGGCCACCTCTCCCAGGCCCATCCTCCTGCTCCCCTAGGGCTCCTGGACAGGGTCACAGCTTCTCGTGCTCCTGACCTGGCCCCCTCAGCCCAGCCTTTCTCTTGAGTAAGAAGAAAATGCCTCCTCCTCTGCTGTCCTAAGAACCCAGCTGTGTGGACCCAAGATTTCTCGCTCTCAGGGAAGGGGCTCATTCATGAGTGGGCATCATGGCCTCTAGTTCTATGTGTGGCAGAGAGGCCCTCCCATCCCTCCAGCTGGACTCTAGAGGAACAGGCAGCTATAGGCAGTGCCATTTGTGGCCCAAGTCTGTTTGGACCATTGATCCGGGTGTTCAAGTGCTTCCTTGCCATGACGATGCCAGCAATACCCCTCTGAGAGGAACAGGCAGCTATAGGCAGTGCCATTTGTGGCCCAAGTCTGTTTGGACCATTGATCCGGGTGTTCAAGTGCTTCCTTGCCATGACGATGCCAGCAATACCCCTCTGAGCACCAAAGTCAAAGGTGTGAATAAACTCTGGTAGAGGCCAGACCATCTCCTTCTCATCCAGGTTCACGTAGAACTGCTCCTCCTCATCAAATTCAAACATATACTCCCCAGAGGGTCTGTGCGTCTGCACAAACTCCGCATATGTTGACACATGGTCTGCTGCATGAAGGAGAAGATGGAGAATGGGTGAATACGTAGGATGCTACACAGAATGCAGGAAGCAAACAGGTAACAGGAAGGTTATTGGGAACATGAAGGAATAACACAGAAAATGAGAAATGCAAATGAAAGAAAAGAAAAGGAGTGAGAAGAAACAAAGACAGAAATGACCCATGGACGATATAGGTTGTTTCCCTTGTCCCTGAAGACTTAACATCCGTCTATGATAATGGTAATGCTGAATACAGTAAGATAATATTTATTGGGCACTTACTATGTGCTAAACTTACTCATTGAATCTTCACACCCCCATGTAGAAGAACTTATTTTCCATAGTAGGGAACTGACCCCAGAGGTAAAGTAACTTGTCCAAGTCACACAACTCCTGGTAGAAACAATATTGAGTAGTCCTCCTACCTCATTCCTGTAGGATCTCAGAAACCCTACAGGACAATACATTAAAAATTACTGATATAGCCATAAAGCAAGGCAGGGAAGTGGAAGGATGGAATAAATATTTCAGAGTGGAACAAAATCGTGAAGGACATGAAAATACCTCCAGAGTCTTAGTGACATTTATAGACTTCAAGTTACATTCTTACTTTTAGAAGAAAAATGATACCTTCTATAATTTTATCCACAACACTTACATTTTAGGCAGAGTAAATTTAAAAGTATTATCATTCACATAACATTCACAAAATTGTCTTGTGGAGTGTAGTTTTCAAGTGTAGTTTCACCTGGAAATACAAGTTGTTGGCATTTGAAAGACCTATGGGATAGTATCTTAGCTTTACCTGATACATAAGAAGCAGCAACTGGTTGATAACAAAAAGTGAATTATTATTACAGTGAATTACAGAGAGTTTAGGGTTCGGCCTGGAAGAGGAAGTGAAGCCAAATGACACTGCATGGTTGGTGGTCCCTAAGTGAGGATTTCCCCTCCCAGCCCAGCATGGGGAGAACCAGTCCTCTACTTAGATGCATAGTGTGACAGCAGGTTCAGTGCCGCACACGGATGGTGAGGGTCCCCCACTGAGTTTAGGGTCTAGAGGATTACTCACCTACAGAAATGAATCCCAAAGGAAAAAGAAAAATACATGGTGTATAGACTGGGCTACACAGATGTAATTGGTTCAGCTTAGGTTACTTTGTATTTATTATATTTACAAAATCTGAAAACTAAAGGTTGGCACATTTTGAAGCAAATTCCACACTTCAAATGTTAATTTTCATTCAGTTAATAAATGCTTTTTGTGAACTTTCACTCTCTAGGTAATAAGGATGAAACTCTAAAGATGGGAACTTTGTCCTTAATCTACTTGAAATTCAAGAATAAAACAGACAAAGAAAAGATGATTGCTACATGTGTGGTTTGATCACCACTGAGTATCACAAGGTATACACAAGAGCTACTCAGGAGCAAAATTAAAATACGATTTAGGAAAGGTTCCTAGGGACAGTGTTCACCTGCAGATAGCAAAACAGAGAAAGGGGAAATGGCATTTCCAGCAGGAGAAGCAGGCTCAGGAGCAGAGAGGCATGAAGTTGCAAGGAGAACTGCAGTTCTTCAGTGTGACTGAAGCCAGGGGAGATGTGGGCCAGGCAGCACTGTAACCTGCCTTGTGTGCTGATGGCAAGTGTTTGCATTTTATCCCACAGGACATAGGAAGTTGTGAAGTATCTTAAGCAGGAGAGTAACACGGTCAGATTTGTGTTTGGATGGGGCACCTGTAGGAAGGATGGGCTGGAGGAGGCGGGACTCAAGGCAAGACCAGTAGCACTTTTAAGCCCTCTGGTGGGAAGTAATGAAGGCGTAGGCCAGGGCAGGAACATGGGGTGAGGAGGACAGCAGATGGATTTGATGGCAGTAATGACATGAGAGGCCACAGGAATCACTAAATCACATGCCAGAAGTAGGGATATGAAGAAGTCGAGAATAACCACGCAACGTGGAGAATTGTGGCATCCGTGCCTGCAAAGGTGATAATTAAGTGATTGAGAGAAGGTAAAATTTTCTGTTTGAGACATACTGAATTTAAACTTCTAGGGGAAAACATACAGTTGATTTGAAGGCAGTGAAATAAATGGATGAGTGTCATGCTACATTAGGTTAGTGACATAAACTGGAAGGAGGCTCATGGTGGGTGAAGTTCTAATTTTGGGTCAGGTCACTCAAGAAAAGTACACAAAGTCAGGATAGCAGGGATCTGAGTGTGTGCTCCTGCATCCAGACAAACACAGACATGAAGAAAGAGGCTGAAAAGCAGAGGACTAGAAATTGGTAGGAAAACAGAGAGGAAGTGGGTTCATAAAAGACAAGAGACAGGAGAAAACTTCCAGGAAAGAGGAGAGGGGGCATCTCAAACACACTAATGACACACATAAGACAGAAACAGAACAGTGACCACTGGCTTGAGTTGTATAAAAGTCATTAGTTGCCACCCTGAGAGGAGCATCAGAGATGAGGGAAAGAAAAAGAGAGAGTACATTGGGTTGAGGACTGAATGAAATGGGAGAAAATCGATAATAGGCTGGGCACAGTGGCCCATACCTGTAATCTCAGTGATTTGAGAGGCCGAGACAGGAGGATCACTTGAGGCCAGGAGTTTGAAAGCAGCCTAGGAAACATAGTGAGAGTCCATCTCTAAGAAAACAATTTTGGATTCCCTGCCTTCCATGAGCAACACAGCAAACATAAGCTCTGCAGATGTGCTCAGACTTGAGCCTGACTCACTGAAGAGAGTGTGGTGCTGCCAGGCCTCAGACACCAGATTATAATCAACCTCTTCCCAGGCCCTGCACAGGAGAGGCCCACTCTGTGGGGCATACAGTGCCCAGGGGTGGTACAGGCCCTGCAGAGACCACAGACTGTTCACCTGACAAGAAATATCTTGAGGAACTCACTTCACAGATCCCTCAAGAAAGGAACCACTGCAGGAGAATACCCAGAAAATCGAAAGAATTCACAGATCCTTTTAAAGAAGGGAGGGGCCACTGCAAACTCCACCAGACAAGTGAAAAACTGTGCGTTCCCAAAGCGTGAGAGGGGAAAAACCTGCCTCCGGACCCATGTCCCCACTGGGGAACTCGAAAATCCAGATTACAGGAAAAGGATTTAACTTTACCTAGACCTGAAACAGATTTAGCATGAAATACAAAAGTACGCCGGGCGCTGCCGCTCACACCTGTAATCCCGGCACTTTGGGAGGCCGAGGCGGGCGGATTACAAGGTCAGGAGATTGAGACCATCCTGGCTAACACGATGAAACCCCGTCTCTACTAAAAATACAAAACAATTAGCCAGGCGTGGTGGCGGGCGCCTGTAGTGCCAGCTACTAGGAAGGCTGAGGCAGGAGAATGGCATAAACCCGGAAGGCGGAGCCTGCAGTGAACCGAGATCGCGCCACTGCACTCCAGCCTGGGTGACAGAGTGAGACTCCGTCGCAACAAAAAGAAAAAAAAAATATATATATATGGTAGATGCAGCAGTGAGAAGAGCCTTGTAGGCACGCCCAGTCTTTAGCTCAAGCCCAGGGAAGCCACCCCTGACTATATCTCACAAGGGCCCTGGGGGAAGGCAGACGGCAAAATTTGGAAGGGGTCACAGTGTGAAAGGAGCGTCCAACTGAAATTTGTTATAATTCTGACTGGGCACAAATCCTCTGGAGCAGAATCTGGGGGCGAACGGAACTGCTGGAGAAAGAGCAGAAGTTACTGCCAACATTGTGGGCAGACAGGGAGGCACATGGCCTGAAAGCTGTGCTTGCTTTCTCAGCAGGAAACTTATAGCCTGGAGTGAGGTCTGAGTCCATCCTGAAGGCTGCAGGGAGATAAATTCAATGCTGTTAGTGTGGCACAGCAGGAGCAAAACCTGCCTCGCCAACTGCATGGGAGCTGGGTGAAGCCTATTGCTACCAGGTTTCCCCTACTTCTCTGGTGACAGAGGCAGCCATAATGCCCTCTGGAACATAATTCCATTGGCTGGAGAAAAACCCTCCGCCCCATCCCTCACAGTGGCTGCCGCAAGCCCCCCGCCCGAGGAGAGTCTGAGCTCAGACCTGCCTAACCCTGTCCACACCTGAGGGCATTTCTCTACCCACCTGGTAGCCAATCACAAAAGACGTAAACTCTTGGGAGCTTTATGACACCACTCATTGCCTGAGAAACTGAATATTTATCTTGGCCAACTTAGGGCAAGCTTATATCCACCTTCTACTATTGTAGCTGGTGCCCTCTTGAAAGCACCACATCCTGGCTGGAGGCCAACCAACTCAGGACATTACAACAATTCACGACAGAATAACTGCTCTAAGAAAGGAGAAAACAGCTAATTCCACTGGCTGAAAAATCTTGACTAACCAGTGGTCTTCGGTCTGTTCACATGACAACTGCACTGCTAGCATAACCAGCATTTGAGAAAGCCACCACACTAAGTCTATCTACAACCAAGGATTCTCACAGAGTCTACTTCACTCCCCTACCACCTCCACACTGGACCCCAGCAATAGATCCAAACTAAGAAGAAATCTCTGAATTGCTAGATAGAGAATTCAGAAGGTTGATTTTAAGCTACTCAAAAAGATACCAGAGAAAGGTGAAAAACAACTTAAATAAATTTTTTAAAAACACAGGATATGGATTAAAAATGCCCCAGGGACGTAGATATCATAAAGAAGAAACAATCCAACTTCTGGAAATGAAAGACACACTTAGAGAAATACAAAATGCACTGGAAAGTTTCAACAATAGGATCCAACAAGTAGAAGAAAGAACTTCATAGCTCAAACAACAAGCCTTTCGAATTAACCCAGTCAGACAAAGACAAAGAAAAAAGAACTTTAATAAATAAACAAAGCCTCCAAGAAATTTGGGATTATGTTAAATGACCTAAGAATGATTGGCATTCTTGAGGAAGAACAAAAATCTAAAAGTTTGGAAAACATATTTGAGGGAATAATCAAGGAAAACTTCCCTGGCCTCGCTAGAGATCTACACAACCAAATACAAGAAGCTCAAAGACCACCTGGGAAATTTATCACAGAAAGATTATCGCCCAGGCACATAGTCATCAGGTTATCTAAAGTCAGGACAAAGGAAAGAATCTTAAGAGCTGTGAGGCAAAAGCATCAGGTAACCTATAAAGGAAAACCTATCAGATTAACAGCAGCCTATAAGCCAGAAAAGACTGGGGTCTTATCTTTAGCCTCCTCAAACAAAATAATTTCCAGGCAAGAATTTTGTATCCAGCAAAACTAAGCGTCATAAATGAAGGAGAGATAAAGTCTTTTTCAGACAAACAAATGCTGAGAGACTTCACCGCTACCAATCCAGCACTACACAAAATGCTAAAAGGAGTTCTAAGTCTTCAAACAAAACTCCAAAATACACCAAAATAGAACCTCCTTAAAGCATAAATCTCACAGGGCCTATAAAACAGTAATGCAAAGGAAAAAAATAAGGAATTCAGGCAACAACTAGCATGAGAAATAGAACAGTACTTCACATCTCAATATTAACACTCTCCACTTAAAAGATACAGAATGGCAGGAAGGATAAAAATTCAGCAACCAAGTATCTTCAGTCTTCAAGAGTCATCTAATGTGTAAGGACTCACAAAAACTTAAGGTAAAGGAGTGGAAAAAGATATTCCATACAAATGGAAAACAAAAGCAAGCAAGAGTAGCTATTCTTATATCAGTCAAAACAGATTTTAAAGCAACAACAGTTAAAAAAGACAAAGAGGGACATTATACAATGATAAAAGGATAACTCCAACAGGAAAATATCACAATCCTAAACATATATGCACCTAACATGGGAGCTTCCAAATTTATAAAACAATTATTACTAGACATGAGAAATGAGATAGACAGCAACACAATAATAGTGGGGACTTCAATACTCCACTGACAGTACTAGAAAGTCATCAAGACAGAAAGTCAACAATGAAACAATGGACTTAAGTTACACTAGAAGAAATAAACTTAACAGATATTTACAGAACATTCTACTCAACAACTGTAGAATATACATTCTTCTCATCAGCACATGAAACATCCTCCAAGATAGACCACATAATAGGCCACAAAACAAGCCTCAACAAATTTAAGGTAATCAAAATTATATCAAGTCCCCTCTCAGACCACAGTGGAATAAAATTGGAAATTAACTCCAAAAGAAACCTTCAAAACTATACAAATACATGGAAATTAAATAATTTGCTCCTGAATGATCTTTGGGTCAACAGTGAAATCAAGATGCAAAATTCTCTGAACTGAATGATAATAGTGACACAACTTGTGAAAACCACTCGGACACAGTAAAAACAGTCCTAAGAGGAAAGTTCATAGCATTAAATGCCTATATCAAAAAGTCTGAAAGAGCACAAATACAAAATGTAAAGTCACACCTCAAGGAACTAGAGAAACAAGAACAAACCAAACCCAAACCCAGCAGAAGAAAAGAAATAACAAAGAGAGCAGAAGTAAATGAAATTGAAACAAAAAAATACAAAAGATAAATGAAACATGAAGCTGATTCTTTGAAACGATACATAAAATTGATAGACCATTAGTGAGATTAACCAAGAAAAGAGAGGATCCAAATAACCTCAATTAGAAACAAAATGGAAGAAAATGCCACTGATATTACAGAAATATAAAATATCATTCAAGGCTAATATGAACACATTCACAGGCACAAACTAGAAAACCTAGAGAAGACAGATTCCTGGAAATATACAACCCTCCTAGAATAAATCAGGAAGAAATAGAAACTGTGAACAGACCAATAAAAAGCAGAAAGATTGAAATGGTAATTTTTAAAAAACTGCCAACGATAAAAAATCACAGATTCACATGGACTCACAGCTGAATTCAATCAGACATTCAAAGAAGAGAATTGGTACCAATCCTACTGAAACTATTCCAAAACAGAGAAGGAGAGAATCCTCCCTAAATTATTCTATGAAGCCAGGATCGCCCTAATACCAAAACCAGGAAAGGACATAATAAAAAAGAAAACTACAGACCAATATCTCTGATGAAAATAGATGCAAAAATCCTCAACAAAATACAAGCTAACATAATCCAACAGCATATCAAAAAGATCATACATGGTGATAAATTGGGTTTCATGCCAGGGATGCAAGGATGATTTAATACACACAAGTCAATAAATGTGATAGATCACATAAACAGATTTGAAAACAAAAATCATATGATCTCAATAGATGCAGAAAAAGCATTTGACAAAATCCATCATCGCTTTTTTATTAAAACCCTCAGCAAACTTGACATACAAAGATCATAACTTAAGGTAATAAAAACCATCTATGACAAACCCACAGCCGACCTTATACTGAACGGGGAAAAGTTCAAAGCATACCCCCTGAGAACTGGAACAAGATAAGGATGCCCACTCTCACCACTTCTATTCAACATAGTACTGGAAATCCTAGCCAGAGCAATCAGACAAATCAGTAAATAGGAAGTCAAACTGTCACTGTTCACCAATGATATGACTGTATACCTAGAAAACCATAAATACTTATCCAAAAAGCTCCTAGATCTGATAAATGAATTCAGTAAAGTTTCAGGATACAAAATCAATGTACACAAATCTGTAGCACTGCCATATACTAACAGTGACCAAGCTGAGAATTAAATCAAGAACTCAACCCCTTTTATAGTAGCTGCAAAAAAATAAAATACTTAGGAATATACCTAACCAAGGAGGTTTACTGGGGGAACCAGCCCCCAATATTTCAAAGTATGTTCTTTTCTATTTTCCCTAAGTGTGGGCCAGTCTGAGAAATAAAGAGAAAGAGTACAAAAGAGAGAAATTTACAGCTGGGTCTCCGGGGGTGATATCACATGTCAGCAGGTTCCATGATGCCCACCTGAGCCGCAAAACCAGCAAGTTTTTATTATGGATTTCAAAAGGGGTGGGGGTCTATGAATAGGGAATGGGTCACAGGGATCACATGCTTCAGAGGGCAGTAAAAGATCACAAGGCAGAGGGCAAAACTAGAATCACTGATGAGGTTCCACATCCCGCTGGGCACACATTGTCATTGATAAACATCTTAACAGGAAACAGGGTTCGAGAGCAGAGAACCAGTATGACTAGAATTTGCCAGGCTGGAATTTCCTAATCCTAGCAAGCCTGAGGGCACTGCAGGAGACCAGGGCATATTTCATCCCTTATCTTCAACCATGTAATTCAGACACTCCCAGAGTGGCCATTTTAGAGACCTCCCCCGGGAATGCATTCTTTTCCCAGGGCTATTCCTTGCTGACAAAAGAATTCAGCGATATTTCTCCTATTTGCTTTTGCAAGAAGAGAAATATGACTCTGTTCTGCCTGGCCCTGCAGGCAGTCAGACCTTATGGTTATCTCCCTTGTTCCCTGAAAATTGCTGTTATCCTGTTCTTTTCAAGGTGCCCAGTTTTCATATTGTTCAAACACACATGCTTTACAAACAATTTATGCAGTTAACGCAATCATCACAGGGTCCTGAGGTGACATACATCTTCAGCTTACAAAGATGACAGGATTAAGAGATTAAAGTAAAGACAGGCATAGGAAGTTATAAGAGTATTGATTGGGGAAGTGATAAATGTCCATGAAATCTTCACAATTTATGTTCTTCCACTGTGGCTTCAGCCGGTCCCTCCATTCAGGGTCCCTGACTTCCCGCAATAGAGGTTAAACACCTGTACGAGGAAAATTAAAAACACTGCCGAAAGAAATTATAGATGACACTAACAAGTAGAACCACGTCCCATGCTCATGGAAGGGTAGAATCAACATTGTGAAAATGACCATACTGCCAAAAGCAATCTACAAATTCAATGCAATCCCCATCAAAATGCCATCATCATTCTTTACAGAGCTAGAAAAAAACAATCCTAAAATTCATATGGAACTACAAAAGAGCCCACATAGCCAAAGTAAGATTAAGCAAAACGAATAAATCTGGAGCATCACATTACCTGACTTCAAAATATACTGCAAGGCTATAGTCACCAAAACAGCATGGGAATGGTATAAAAACAGGCACATAGACAAATTGAACAGAATAGAAGTCCCAGAAATAAAACCAAATACTTACAGCCAACTGATCAAACAAAAACATAAAGTGGGGAAAGGACAGCGTATTCAACAGATGGTACTGGGGAAATTGGCAGTCCACATGCAGAAGAATTAAACTGGATCCTCATCTCTCACCTTATACAAAAATCAACTCAAGGTAGATCAAAGACTTAAATCTAAGACCTGAAACCATAAAAATTCTAGAACATTGGAAAAACTCTTCTAGACATTGGCATAGGCAAAGAGTTCATGACCAAGAACCCAAAAGCAAATGCAAAAGAAACAAGATAAATAGATGGGACCTAATTAAACTAAAAAGTTTCTTCAAAGGAAAAGAAATAATCATCAGAGTAAACAGCCCACAGAGTGGGAGAAAATATTCGCAAGCTATACATACAAAAAAGGACTAATATCCAGAATCTACAAAAAACTCAAACAAATCAGCAAGAAATAAACAAATACTCCCATCAAAAAGTGGGCTAAGCAGAGGAACAGACAATTCTCAAAAGAAAATATACAAATGGTTGACAAACATATGAAAAAATGCTCTACATCACTAATTATCAGGGAAATGCAAATCAAAACCACTATGTGATACCAACTTACTCCTGTAACAATGGTCATAATTTAAAAATAAAAAAAAAAATAGACGTTGGGGTAGGTGTGATGAAAAGAGAACACTTCTATGCTACTGGTGGGAAATTAAACTAGTACAACCTATGGAAAACAGTACAGCGATGCCTTAAAGAACTAGAAATAGATCTACCATTTGATCCAGCAATCCCACTACTGGAGGAAAAAAGCCATTGTATGAAAAAGACACTTGCACACACATGTTTACAGCACCATGATTCACAATTGCAAAAATATGGAACCACCCCAAATGCCCATCAGTTAATGGGTGAATGAAGAAAATGTGATATATATATATGTGATATATATATATGTGATCTATATATATATAGATCACATATATATATATATGATCTATATATAGATCACATATGATATATATGTGATCTATATACCTTAGAATACTACTCAGCCATAAGAAAGAATGAAATAACATTTGCAGCAACCTAGGGGGAATTAGAAACCATTATTTTAAGGGAAGTAACTCAAGAATGGAAAACCAAATATTGTATGTTCTCACTTATAAGTGGGAGCTAAGCTATGAAGACACAAAGGCATAAGAATTATATAATGGACTTTGAGGACTTCCAGGTATGAGTAGGAGCTGGGTAAGGGATAAAAGACTACACACTGGATACAGTGTACATTCCTCAGGTGATGGGTGCACCAAAACCTCAGAAATCACCACTAAAGAACTTATCCATATAACCAAACACCACCTGCTCCCCAAAAACTATTGAATTAATTTTTCAAAATGATTTTTTAAAAAACTTTTATTGGAAGGACCCTCCGGAGTTCTGAGGAGGAGGCCTGAGCATATGTGGGGAAGGCACAGATGAACACATAGGAGGGATCTCTAAGAAAACAATGGCCACCAGGTCACTGCTAGACTCACCACAGGGCCTTCTAAACCAGGGGGCCCCTCCACGAGCATACCCTGTGGAGTCAAAGGTTAAAACTCACAGGTGACAGGGCCAGCACACTAAACCCCACTTGCTTCTCCTCTTTCCACCACCTCAGCCCTGTGACCAGCATGACTTACAGGTTCCAGCACTGCAGGCTCTCTCTTCTCTCCCTTCAGCCCCCGGGGCCCATGGGCAGCCTAAGGGAGACACACATGTAACCCCAGTGGGGCCCATGAGCAGCCAGGACACCAGGCCTGCCCCCATCTCAACTCCAACCTCGATTTTGGGTCCTCTGGAGACCAGACCAGCCCTACCCACAAGCCCCACAGGCTTCCTCTAAATACTTCTGTTCACAAAACTCTCATGCCTGCCAAGGAGATCTCAGGGTTCCCTGCACCCCAGTTCTCAGTCCCACCTCAGCAAACACAACCTCTCCAAATCCTGAAGAGCCTCTTTCAGAAAGAGGACTTTGAGTCTTTCAGTCTTTCTCCAAAAAAGAAAAGGTATATGCCCTTATGCACAAAATTTTATTTAGAATTTGAAGGAGTTCAAAAATGTAAAAACCCTGCACAGGTTAAGTATCCATACTCCAAGTAAATTTGGAGAGCATTTCCCAGAGATATTCCAAACTCAGGCCTCATAACTGCCTTTTGCAAAACATACAGTTCTTGGGCTCAGTTATCCAAGCCCCAGAGCAGCCCCCTACAATGCACCCCACAGTTCCTCTCCCAGCAGGATGCTTTGCCCTTCTTCTGGCCCTCATGTACACTCCAAGCCAACCAGTTCCCTCCCTTGCACACCTCCATTCAGATGCCTGTTCCCAAATCCAGGCCATAGCCAAGATAAGGGTGGGGAGAAGGTGAAACATTCACCACCACCCCAACTCCCCAAAACAAAGATCTTCAGAATGCCCCTCTCCACCTTCATCCTGACAGCAATGATCCGTTTCAAAATTCTCCCAGATCCCACATCAACCCCAAAGACCCAGACAGCAGCATAAAGGAAAGGCAGCAGAAGCTCACGGGTGCCAAGAGCAGGAGGTGTGGGATGCAGCAGCAGGGTAGAAAAGGCAGCCATAACTGCAAGGCAGGCAGAAGATGTAGCAGAGTAGACAGGAAGCAGTCCAACTGACAGAGAATACTGGAAGATATGAGAACAACTAAGGGACACAAAATAAAATGACAAACACTTGGATGCAAGAGTGATGCCAGGGCCAAGGAAAATTAAACATGGCCAAGATGGCCACAAAACAAACTGGACAAACAGGAAGTGGCTGTACAGACAGGAAGCAGCCAAGAAAAGAGGATCTGGGAAGTGAACCTTCAACAATATGGCTACCATGACCCAGAGTGAAAAGAAAGGCACAAAACAGGTACAATGGGACTCCTGCAGAGGGAATTATGCATGCAAGGCTTAGTGGGTAGATGAGCGGGAGGTACAGAGTAGATGGAATCAGATGAGTGAATAGATAGATGGGTGGAATTGAATACATGGTTGAGTGAACGGTTGGATGTGAAGTGAGTGGGTGAGGAGATGGGTGCATGAGTGTATTGAAGGAGAGAGTGGTTGAGTTCCAGGAAGGATAATGGATAGATGGGTGGCTGAACAGATGCATGCATCCTTGTATGCATGGGTAGATGGGGTGTGTGAGTGGGTGGGTGAGTGAATAGATGGATGGATAAGTTGAAGAGGACAGATGAACAAAAGCATAGTCGAATAGATGTGTGTAAAGAAGGGGAGAGTCATTAAGCAGGGGGAGGATGGACAGGTGAGTGGATATAAGCCTTCATGCATGAGTAGATGGGTAAGTTTGTGATGCATAGGTGGGTAAATGGTTGCGGGAGTGGGTGGTGGATGTGTGCGTAGGTGGACTGGTGAATGAGTGGATGGATGGGGTGGATGAGGAGAGAGATAGGTTCAAGGGATGGATAGATGGAGAGATGAAGACTGAAGGATAGAATAAGTGGCTGTGGACAGTCCTGCCACATAAGTGGACATCTAGTTATTCTGCAGAGATCAGCAGTCCTGAAGATAGGAAATGCAAATCAAAATTCACAAGAAAAAAAATGAAGGCTTAGGAAATAGGAACATTGCATACTGGGGCCAGAAGAGGAGTGGGCACAAAATAAGGGACCAGAAGTCACTCCTTTCTCTGATTTTTGTGGTAACCTCAAAGACTTTCTTCATCTGGGATACAGGCACCAACAATTATCACCCCACAGGTGTCCAACACTGGACTAGTTCTTCAGGGGAGAGGCCGGGTGACTCACATCTTGCAGTCAACAATGAGGGTGACAGACTGGCCCTTCATGGCCATAGCCACAAGGTGCCACCTGGTCATGGAGTGAGAGGTTCAAGTGACTGACTGAAGCAGGGGCGTCAACAGGGTTGGAGATCTGTTGATGAAAGTTGAAACCAATGACGATGAGAGCAGTAATCACAATAGCTGCCATTTATCAAGTGCTTACAGTGCAACAAACACTGTGCCATCACTTTCTCACTTGTTTGTGCCAATTCTATTTACTGTCCATCCTAAGATGTAGAAACTGAGGCTCAAAAAATTTAAGTAACTTGCCCAAGGTACAGGCTAACACAACTTGCAGAGAAGGATGCACTCTAAGCCCAAACTCTGGGCTAGAAGTGACTGAACTTTGGGCAGTGCGTAGGTGTGTTGTGGCCAAAAGAAGGAACAGGGTTTCACAGTTTAGAGCGTACAGGTTCTAGGGCACTTTCTCACAAAAGTGTGGGCCAGGCAGACCAGAGGAGCAAATAGACTTACTTGCCAACTACTAGGGTGAGGCCTCAGAAGACGGGCTAAGCAGGTTGAAGTCGTCCAGTCTGATCCTCATACAGGAAGCTGACAAGTTGGCCTGGCTCCAGGCTCAACTGTTGGACACCTGGGCACTGCAGAGAATCAGGAGGGGAGCTTGGAGACCAGGACGGGTCCAGAAAACAGTCAGGAGAAAGAAATCTTTAGGAAATCCTCCTGGTACCCGAGAGAAATACACACAGAGTGAGAGGCAAAGAGAGCCACCACCCCTTTCCTCCTGGTGTCTGATTCCAGACCCCACCCCATTACCTCCCTCACCGTGTCACTACACTTAGGAAGAGGTAGAGGGTGGGTGTGCTGAGTTGGGCAGTTTATGACACTCAGTAGATAGACAGATACCCCTTGCCCTCCAGACACCATCAGGGAAGTAGGGGAAACTCAGGCCCAGGAGCAAATCCACAGGGGGTGCACCTGGGAGAGTCCATGAGGGTCAGGGGAAGGGACACGCCCTCAGGAGGGAATAAATGGGGGACTTTGTCTCAGAAGGGAGTGCAACTTGCACTTGTGGTCACAGAGGGCTGCTAAGAACTCCTCAACAGGACAGTTCAGTTATGGAAACTGGGAAGGGGTAAGACTAGGAAGAGAGGAGGCTGGAGAAGTGTGTGATGTCGCTGAACAGTGTGCAGCAGGAGGGAAGGGGTGCAGATGAGAAGAGAACTTGAAGGGTCAGCAATTCCATCAGCCTTTGGGGTAGAGAGCACATGAATTGAGAAAGAAAGCTGAGATATAGCTTGTAAAACAGCTGGAATTCAGATCTCTCCTAAGTCCTCTTCCTTTCACATATTTTGTCACCTGCCTCGAGACACACACAGTTACTGTCATCCCTGGGTTCAGTACTGTAAGCCCAGACCCATCTTCCCTGCTCCCTTTATACCTGATCCTCCTATTTCTCTGCCCTGTTTAGGTCCCAGGCAGAAGCTAGGTGGTCATCTCTGTGCCCTCTCTGGTCCTCCAGGTGAACAGAACTTAGCATTCAAGGAGTTCCCTAAAGTCAATTAATTTCACCCCCAAACCCCAGCTGACTTTGAGGGCATCCGCATGCATCATGTCGCCAACATATCCTGACAAGGGGAAGGGCCACATTTCTGAAGCCAGAGAAGAAGCTCAATTCTGGAATGATGGGGATGAAGGAGAAATAATTGCTCACATTATGTAAAACTGCTCTCTGAAAGGATTTCAAAACCAAGGTAAGATTTCTGAAATGACTTCTGTTGAACTTCTGACTCCACTCTACTTCCTCCTTCCTGGAAATCTTTACCTCCTTGGCTTATGTGCCAGTATATTCTACTAATTCTTCTGCCTCTCTGCTTCTCCATTTTCTTTGAATAGTTCTCTTTTGACATTTTGTTCATTATATATTTTCCATTAATTTAGATTTCTTAAGATATTTCATTAAAATATGATTGACTTTTATTACTGAGTTCTTTTGGTATCCTCCTAAATTTTGCACCTAAGGTAAGTGCATCCCTAGTCCCAGCCTGGCTTTCCACACTGTCTCTTAATATCTAACATTCTCTATTTATTTCATTCATTTCATGTAAATAATTGTAAATCCTTATAGATAGAATTATAAATGTGTGTAAACAATGAAAAATTGAAAACAGAGAGAATATATCCTATGTCCTACTGGATATTAACATATACTACAATGTCATAGTAAAAAAATAGTATCAAAAGCCTACTATATGTCGAACATTGTTAGATGCTAAATATTCAAATAAAAGTAAGACATAGGTCTTGTCCTCCTGATGTTTACAGTTCACAGAAGAGAACACAAGTGACAAGACAACAGCAGGCCCAGATGGATAAGTGCAGATATGGGGCAGGCACAAGATGCTGCTGTCAAGGCATCAGGGAAGGTTTCCTGGGGAACAGATGGCTTCAATGTAGGCAGTCCGAAAACAGGGCAGAAGCCACTTCTCACACAGGAGGAAGCAGGTTCAAAAGTGTGGGCCCAGTGTGGCAATGACATATCTGAAGAACTTCAGCTGCTTCAGTATGAATGGAGCCAGCTTTGGATGTGGAACAGCAGCAAGAAAAAAGGAAAAATAGACAGGCAGGGGCTGGATCATGACAGATGTTACATGCAAAGCTCAGGAGTGGCTACTCTGTCCTGGAAGTCATAAGGAATCATTGAAGGATTTTAAGCAGGAGAGTGATGGCGCATTTGCAATTTAGGAAGATCACTACGGCAACAGTGGGCAGCATGAGTGAAAGAAGTTGGTTCAAGAGGCAAGACTAATAGTGCCTGAACAAAGAGTGAGGAAATGGGCATAGGAGTAAAATGATGGAAGAAGAGGACTTAATTTGATTGACATTAAAGGGATTATTGGTGAGTGATGTCGGTGGCATCCGACTTAGAAAACTCCCAGATAACTCTTATTCCTAGACTGGCCAATGCAATCATCTCTTTTGTGTGTGTGTGTGTAAGTGTGTGTCACTTTTCTAAATTATTTTGATTGACAAAAATTATTTATATTTATCATGTATAATATGTTGTTTTGAAATGTATGTACATCATGGACCGGCTACATCAAGCTAAAGAACTTATGGCTCACCTCACATACTTATTTTTTGTGGTGAGAACACTTAAAATCCACCCTTTTAGCAATTTTCAACAATACATTGTTAGCAACTATAGTCCATGTTATACAATAAAACTCTTAAAATTATTCCTCCAATCTAAATGAAATGTATCTTTTGAAATGTATCCTAAATGAAATGAAATGGATGTATCCTTTGACCAACATCTCCCCAACCCAATGCAAACATCTTGATTCCATTCATTAAAAAGGGTAATGAGAGAAGACAGCCTGACTGAGAGAAGAGACTGAGTTCAGTGTGGGGCTATTGCACTTAGAATGTCTAAAAGTTATCTAAGGAAAAATAATATGTAAACATTTTTGTATGATGGGTGGTCTCAGTAGAGGAGTTTAAGCCAGAGAACTGAGAGTCATCAAGCATAGGTGCAGGTTAGATGAGCTTTTCCAGGAAGAGTGCCAAAAATCAGAAATGCAGGGATCTCAGGGTATGATGAGAGAACATAATAATTAAGAGGAGATTTCAAAGGATGATAAGGAGGATTCAGTAAATAGGAGAAAAATAAGGACAGAGTAGCTCATTAGAAAGAAGTGGATTATGGTGCAAATATTATCAGTAACTCAAGTCAGAGGCACTGACAAGAACCCACTGGATTTGACCTTCTACAGAGGTTTCTGATGGCCGTGATGAGAGGATCCTCAGGGGTGTACTGGAGACAAAAGTCAGAAGCTTAGCTCCAAGTGTGAGGACACAGAGAGAGTGTCTCTAGGGTAGGATGCAGACTGAAGGCAAGGTTGTTTTTTATTAGTTGGTTCATGGTTATGTTGCTTTTTTCCCCCGTAGGTTATAGTGGTACAGGTAGTATTTGGTTACATGAGTAAGTTCTTTAGTGATGATTTGTGAGATTTTGGTGCACCTATCACCTGAGCAGTATCCCTTGCCCCCTCCCACCTTTCCTCTCAGGTCCCCAAAGTCCATTGTATCATTCTTATGCCTTTTCATCCTCTTAGCTTAGCTCCCACATATCAGTGAGAATATATGTTTAGTTTTCCATTCCTGAGTTAGTTCACTTAGAATAATGGTCTCCAATCTCATCCAGGTCGCTGCAAATGCCATTAACTCATTCCTTTTTACGGCTGAGTAGTATTCCATCATATATATATCACAGTTTCTTTACCCACTCGTTGATTGATGGGCATTTGGGTTGGTTCCATGATTTGTGATTGTGAATTGTGCTGCTATAAACACGTATGTGCAAATATCTTTTTCATATAATGACTTATTTTCCTCTGGGTAGATGCCCAGTAGTGGGATTGTTGGATCAAATTATAGTTCCACTTTTAGTTCTTTAAGGAATCTCCTCACTGTTTTCCACAGTGGCTGTACTAGTTTACATTCCCACCAGCAGGGTAGAAGAGTTCCCTGATCACCACATCCACACCAATATCTACTGTTTTTTTATTTTTTTATCATGGCCATTCTTGCAGGAGTAAGGTGGTATCACATTGTGGTTTTGATTTGCATTTCCCTGATCATTAGTGATGTTGAGCATTTTCTTATGTTTCTTGGCCATTTGTATATCTTCTTTTGAGAATTGTCTATGCATGTCCTTAGCCCACTTTTTGATGGGGTTGTTTGTTTTTTCTTACTGATTTGCCTGTGTTCATTGTAGATTCTGGATATTAGTCCTTTGTCAGATGTATAGATTGTGACTACTCTGTGGGTTGTCTGTTTATTCTGCTGATGGTTCCTTTTGCCGTGCAAAAGCTCTTTAGTTTAATTAAGTCTCAACTATTTATCTTTGTTTTTATTGAATTTGCTTTTGGGTTCTTGGCCATGAAATCCCTGCCTAAGCCAATGTCTAGAAGGGTTTTTCCAATGTGATCTTCTAGAGCTTTTATAGTCTCAGGTCTCAGGTTTAAGTCCTTAATCCATCTTGAGTTGATTTTTGTATAAGGTGAGAGATGAGGACCCGGTTTCATTCTCCTACATGTGGATAGCCAATTATCCCAGCACCATTTGTTGAAAAGGGTGTCTTTCCCCACCATATGTTTTTGTTCGCTTTGTCGAAGATCAGTTGGCTGTAAGTATTTGGGTTTATCCCTGGGTTCTCTATTCTGTTCCCTTTGTCTATGTGCCTATTTTTATACCAGTACCATGCTGTCTTGGTGACTATGGCAGGGAACGTGAGCTTTTTCCCCGCAATCCTATACTGGCCCCTTCTACTGCATAATTATTTTCTTCTCTTGAATTTTACATGCTAGTCTTCTATTTACATTTTAACATTTATATAAACAAATGATGCCACTTTTACATTTTCTTTATTAGATTAGGAGGTCGTACAGGATCACATTTATAGGTCTTTAAATTAAGGAGTAATATTCTTTGAAAGTTTATGAAACTATTCAGTATAAACACCACAGAATCAGATGTTTTGGAAAATGTAGGGTCTTTTATGACATTTTTTCATTTCTTCCTCATTCACTGTATAATTTTTAGTCTCATTTTTCCAAAGCAATTACAGATCCGTTGATCTAATTTGACCTTAAGAGCCCTGCTGTAAAGGCAGGTCATATCATCCCCATACTGAAGACAAAGAACTGAAGTCCAAGACAGGCAGTGTCCTTCAAGCTGCATACTTCCATGGTAGTGTAGGTGGTGTGTCCATGCTCCCAGGTGTAAGGCCCCTAGACTGAGCCCTGCTGACCCTGATGACAGTCCTATGGAAGGAGCCAGTATCCCCCGCACATCTCAGGACTCACAGACATGTGGGAGGAAGAAAATATGAATGTGCACTAATCTGAAGCACGGCCTTGAACAAAGGCAAAACAGACTCCAGGCCTCATTTTCAGTTCTGGGATGGATACTCTAATCTCTCTAAATCATGCCACTGAATGACCTTTTACACATTGAGATAGCATTTCTTCCACACCAGGCCATGTCCTGTGGGTGTGTGAGGTGTGGCAGAATTGGGGAAATGATAATCCCTGTAGGTGGGCCAGCAGAATATCTGAGATCACCTTCAGAGCAAAGAAAACACATCATCTCCCCAAAACTCATGACTCTGACTGGTTAAAATGAGTGTCAGTGTTCTCCATCTGTCCTCGTAACAGCATCACTGGCTCTATATTGTCAGATCTTTAATACTAACTTTCTGCCCAGTGAGCAATGACTCATACAAAGCTCAGTGCCCATTGGTTCTTTTCTCAGAGTCTGTCCAATCCTAGGGTCACAGAAGACTGCTTGGGTTCATGGTCTCTAATATTTCAGACAGGAGCTCCCTTTAATGAGTTCTTGTTTTCCTGACTGCAGCTCTCTTCATTCTGCCAACCTTTTCCAACTCCATGATGATCCTGCAGGTTTCAGGGGGCCCCTGGACAGTGGCTCTGACAGCATTACTGATGGTGCTGCTCATATCTGTGGTCCAGAGCAGGGCCACTCCAGGTAAGAGCAGAGCTGCTATTCCTGGAGGGTCTGGCTCAGGGAACAATTCCTAGGGGACTTTCTCTTTATGGAACCAGACTCTGAGACAGCATGTGGGGCTCCTGCCACGGCCTAGTGTCCTTCTATCACAGCTGGAGAATCAAACTCACCTCCTATAGGATAGGTTGCTATCCACCAGGTCTATTCTCTCTCCAGGAACATGGACACAGTAAATAAGGGGAGGTGCTCAGGGGTCAAGTTGCTTGTCTATGGGGAAATGGGGCCAAGAGGTTCAGGATAACCTTGGACAGACAAGGTTTCAGAGAGAGAGGTTGGCAAGTGCAGACTCCTGGGTGTGCTCACATCTGCATCCAACCTTGAGGGGACTCAGGCAGAGAGCCCTTAGCTGGTGTGTCCAGACTACAAGTATCACTGAGGATTCAGTGCTCACAGAGAATGCCTCTCATTCTCCAGGGTGGAGCAGGAGCCAATGCTCCCTGGACAATGAAGGCAAGATGGGAGGGAGGGGGACAGGTTCGAGCCCCTAAAGGCACTCTTGTTGAAGGTATTTCTCCCAGCCTCCCCAGAACTTGGTTAGAGTATTAGGATGGGTTGAAACCTGTCAGAAGAATGAGATAAGGATGTGTGAGTACGTGAAAGAGATTGAGTGTAGGTTATCAGACAGCCAAGAAAGCAGTAACCAAGGGAAAAACCTCTGTCTCCTGCTGTCTCCTTGTGGCTGGTGTAATATTATGGCTTCTATGACCCATTGTTTTTCTCTCAGGATGTTCTTACTTTTCTGGTCCAAATTTACACCAACACCCTGAGAGGAAGGACTGCAGAGTAGGTGTCTTAGTTTTCCACTGACTTCCACCTTTCTGCATAGACCCTCCCTCTGAGACCCTTCCACATCCACCTAGGACACCCCTAGAAAGTGCTGTTCTCATGTCACCTCCTCATTTTCCAGGGTAACAGTATTCGAATCTCCTGAGGACAGCCCCTCAAACCCCAAAGCCCCTCACCTATTACCTCAGGTTCATTGTCCGGGAAAGGGTGGACAAACTGCACTTGTAGTCACAGGGGTGCTGAGAACTAACCAGCAGAATGGCTCAGCCCTGGGAACTGGAGAGGGGTGAGGTTGGGGAGAGAGGAGGCTGGAGCAGCGCTGGTGACACTGAACAGTGTCCAGCAGGAGGTCCATAGCAACAGTGTCCATAGGCAGAGTTGTTTGTAGGATGAGGGGTGGTGTTGGGAAACGCCATGGAAACCCTCAAGGTGCGGGGTAGCAGAAAGCACAGGAGGGAGCGTGATGATGGTGGGCAGTGAACAGGTGGACGGGCAAAGACTGGGTTGAGGTTGGTAGGGGAAATGAGATGAGGCAGTGGAGCCATGTGACAGGAACCGAGGGTGGGTTACCAGAGCTCCCCGTGTAGAATGAATGTCCAATCAAAACCTGCTGGAGGGAGAGCTGGAGCCATAGGGGAGTGGGTAGAGTGGGCAGGGCCAATTCCACAATTCCCTGCATGCTCTTCCAACTCCACACACATCTCCATCCTCAGAGCACAAGAGGAAAGGCACAAGGAGCCAGGCTGTGGCTTAAAGTGAGAGAGGGGAGGGTGGAGAAAAGCTTGGCTGAGACAACACCTAGGGAGCAGGAGATGACACGGCAGGTGAAAAAACCAGACTCCTGGAGGCAACACCCTTTTGTCTCTGACAAGCTTTAAAATGGGCTTTTTATAGCTGAGTTTCTTACCTCACCCCACCCACTACCCCAAGCATTAGGGCCACACTCCCGAGTCCTCCTGTCACACCAGCTGGGCACTTGCAGAAGCTCATTGTGCATTTGAGTCTTTGGGTACTCACTCTTCTGTTAATCTAACTCCTCAAATAAAATCCCTAGCACAAAAGAGAGGGGGGAAGATCCAGTCAGCAAACAGCCAACAAACACTTTTCAACCATTAAGATCTGGTGCCCATGGAAAGTCTTCTTGAGGTTTTCCAGTAGCTCATAAGCTGATCCAGTTCCTCTTTCATATGCATTTATTTAGAATTTTGCTCCTATTCAAACAGGTCACACAGTGAAAAGAGGAAGGGAACTAACATAGATTGAGCAGTAACAGATACAATACTATGTATTTGACATATGTGAGCTCATTTGGTTCTCACAGCAGTTTTGCAAGGTAAATAGTATTATTACTATTTTGCCTTTCAAGAAATGGAGAGTTAGAAGGTTGTTTCTTGTCCAAGATAACTTAGTAATCAGTCGTAGTGCAAGAACTGGAATCCCTACCTGTGACATGTTCCTTTTCTTACCCATATGGACTCCATTATATCTTTCTGCAATTATATTTTAATATAACCTATTCTGAGTGAGAGATGAATTCACTCAGATCATTGGTTTTCAAATTGTGCTCTGGGTAACTCAATTGTCAAAGATTCCGCAAACAGGATAAAGTTTTCCATATACAAAAAAAAAATGAAGTTTCAAATTCCACCATATACTCATCACTTATATCTGCTTTGCAGGTAAAATTCCGTTTAAAAAGTTAAATGTTGCAAAAGAAAGTTTTGAAATTCTTACTCTTGACTAAAACATGTTCTCTTATTGGTGAATGAGGAAGAGGAACAAAGACTAACAAATTAAAATGAGAGGATACACACTCAGAGTGGGGCACTTGAATAGGGAGGGGCAGACTAAAGGGGCTGGGGGCGATGGGCCTGGGTGTTTAGGGGGCTGGAGCCCAAGGCACTAGGAGAAGAGGCGGGTTAAGATATCTAAAGTCCTGGGATCTTGCCTTAGAGATGACACTGGAAACTACAGGCCGAGTCTACGGTGCCGCTGTGCCCAGCCCCACCCCTTCTCTACTGTCCTCTGCCACCAGCTGTGCATCTTCTATGAGGGGTGAGGTTAATAAACGTGAGTTGCTAATTTGTAGAACATGAAACAGGTGTCCAAAACAAACCTTAATTTGCTGTGTGCAAATCACAGCACCTTAATTTCCCCACTGTGACCAGGAACAGATCAGGTCTGAAGAGGCTCAGACATGTGCTGGGTCATTGCTACTTCTGTATACACATGCACCTGCCGGACACTGCCCATGGTGCTCCCTAGGAAGAACTGCAGGTGGAAAAGGCTGCCACATTTCTTTATGTAAAAATGACACCATCAATGCCTCTAAACCTAAAGGAGTCCAGTCACTTAGCTTTCTGGTTGTTCTGGTGATTTTCATTGATTAAGATATTTTCCAGGTGTTTTGAGATCAAGTCTTTCTACAGCCATGTTTGAAAGTGAAAATTAACTTTCAGGCTATATAGTCTTTCTTATGGCAAACTTCAAGAAGTTTTAAGAAATGCATTTCTGGCCAAGTGCGGTGGCTCACGCCTGTAATCTCAGCACTTTGGGTGGCCGAGGAGGGCAGATCTCGAGGTCAGGAGTTCGAGACCAGCCTGGCCAACATGGTGAAACCCCATCTCTACTAAACATACAAAAATTATCTGGGCGTGGTGGCGCACACCTGTAATCCCAGCTACTCAGGAGGCTGAGGCAGGAAAACTGCTTGAACCCTGGAGGCGGAGGTTGCAGTGAGCTGAGATTGCACCACTGGACTCCAGCCTGGGCGACAGAGTGATACTCTGTAGAAAGAAAGGAAGAAAGGAAGGAAGGAAGGGAGGGAGGGAAGGATACTCCATTGAAAGAAGAAAGAAAGAAGGAAGGAAGGGAGGGAGGGAGGGAGGGAGGAATGCATGGAAATGCATTTCTGCATTTCCAGCATGCAGAGATGTCCAGCATGCAGAACAGCAAGAGCAACTTGAGGTATTCTCAAGAAACTGGCAGAGAAGAGAGAGAACCTAGCTGTAGAAAGGGAAAGAAGGAATGGAGGGCTTCCTGGAGGAGGTGGCATTTGAGCCAGGACTGACATCAGGATGGAAATGTCAGGCAGGGAGTTGGGTAGGGGGAGCAGCTCTGCCCTCCAGGTCCCCAACTCCTCCTATCCCTACTGTTTCTCTGCCTGAGGGACCCTCCCCCTGATGAGATTCTGCTCCTCCCTGAGACTCCGCGTGAAATGTCTCCCCCTCCTCCTCCAGCCGCCAGCAGAAAGGGCTGCTTTCCCTTCAGCGTGCGCCCCTCCCTAATGATCACTCAGCCACCCTGAGCAGTGAGTCTCATTCTTTTCAGTAAATCCTCTCGCTGCGTGGTGAGAAAACTGATGCCTGGAGTCTGTGACCTGCCTAGGACCACAGAACTCGGTAGTAGGAAAAATCGTATTTTTAAATCCAGTCCTGAGTGGGAAGATTTGAGGAAATAGCTCATATTGAGGAGGGGGGTGTTGTTGGGAGTGGCACCACCCCCATCTCTCCCTGCTCTTCACAGAGAATTCCGTCTACCAGGAACGGCAGGAATGCTATGCGTTCAATGGGACTCAGCGCGTTGTGGACGGGCTCATCTACAACCGGGAGGAATACGTGCATTTTGACAGCGCAGTGGGGGAGTTCCTAGCAGTGATGGAGCTGGGGCGGCCCATAGGCGAGTACTTCAATAGCCAGAAGGACTTTATGGAACGGAAGCGAGCCGAGGTGGACAAGGTGTGCAGACACAAGTACGAGCTGATGGAGCCACTCATCCGGCAGCGCCGAGGTGAGGGCTGTGGACCAGGGCTCCTGGGGCAGCCGTGGGGGCCGGGCCCAGGGAGTAGGGGCAGCCGGGCCGGCCTAAGGGACCTTAGTGCCAGGAGGGAAGGGGACTTTGAGCTGGGGATTGATGGGAGGAGCCCAACCGGAGCTTGTCAGGAGGGTGAGCACGGAGATTGGGCTGAGCATGGAGTGAGGAGGATGGAGGGAGAGAGACCCCTGGGACTTCATCAGGCCTGGCAGCTGACTGCATGTGGGGTGAGGGGAAACGAGGCCACAGGACATCGTGCAGGGGTGCGGTGTGGAGATGAAGGTGGAGATGGCACAGCAGGCCACGCAGAGAAGAAACCTGCAGGGAGATGGCCGGGTTTGAGGTGCTTGAGGGGCCAGATGGGTGGTCTGATGGGCAGGTGAGAGAAGAGTTTGCAGCGGGGAAGGGGCCTGGCCTACATGAGACCACCCAGGGAGAGGGGACCCATCGGGAGGAGCATAGGACTGGATCCTGGGAACTGGACATTGTGATTTTGTAACGGCTCCATTGTCTGGGGTATATACCCTGGTTCTTTGTCATGGCCGAGAAAATTCACGACACAGACACACGTGAGGAGTGGGTTTGGGAGTGGAAAGTTTAATAGAAAAGAAAAGAGAGAAAAAATCCTTCCTCGTGCTCAGAAAGTGGGTTGCCCAAAAGAGGGTCTGCGGTTTGTGGTGGAATGCAGTCGGTTTTGTACAGAGGTTGAGGAGGCGGTGATTGATTTACACAGCGCTCAGGGAATTGGTTTGACCAGTTGTGTCATTTACATAGCCCACGAAAAGACTGACTCTCCCACCCTAGTCTTTTATTATTCAAATACGGTCTCTAACTGGTGGTGGACAGGATACCTGTACATGTGGTTTTACCTGGAGGCTGCCATGACACTTGTAAACGTGGTGACAAGGAAAAGAGAGTGGGAACCGCCATATTGGATGTACCTGACTTCCAGGTACAGCTGCCAGCATTTACATATAAAAGCTTCTAGTTTGCATATCTATGCCTGAGTTTTCAGGCTGCTTTCTGTTAGAGAAGAAATGGTTTGGGGCTGCTTTTTATTAAAGGAAAATTCCACTGAGAATTTTTACCCTTTCTAGCTGCCTAAAAATAATTTCTTAATAACTCCTGTATTATTTCCTCCCTCAGGAGACGTAACCATAACTGCTGTTAGGGGGTGTTGGACGACGATTCTTTCTGGCTACTTCCTGCTGAAAAGGGGCGTCGTGTTGGGGGGCTGCAGTTGGGGCTCCTCCTGAGGTTGATCTAAGGCTTCTTGGAAGAATGGCATGTCCATGTGTGGCTTTGTTTGCAGCACCATTTGAAGTTTGATTGCTTCTAGGCAAAAAGAGATAAATTTTACAAGAAGGTTTAAAATATAGGGTTACCATATGAGTATTAAGATTACCACCTATAGACTGTAACTATGACAGTAGAGTTTGATACCTGTTACACCAATGGATTGTAATACTGGTTTGTCTCCACTAGATGTCGCTGTACATTACCAGAAACGTTAATATAAAAGCATCATTTCCTTTGAGAAAAACATGTTTCCCCCTTGACTTGCTATTAGGGCATAATTTTTGGTTTAGGCCATTCTTTATAACTTATGATATGATTGGGAGAAAAACGTTATTGGGTGGCTAAAATAACTTTGGTGTTAATCTTGGCAATTCCTTTCCTTTAATTATTAAATTTCTTAATTATTAAATTCTTTCATGACTTTCACAGACCCTCTTACAATGTACTCAACTTTCTGACTTGTCTTAAACAACCAGTCATTTCCTTTTAGGACAAGAATTTACTATACAAGATCCTTTCTTATATAAAATCCCTTTATTTGTAACCTTCTTTCCATAGCTTAGAGTGCACCATTTACCAATCTTCAATAAAAAAGTCCTATCAAACTTAGTGATAGTAAAATTTTCATGCTTACTTCTTGTCTGTAACTATTACTCCTGCTATAAGCAAAACAAACTTGACCAAATCCTTCCTGCAATTATTAATTCTGTCATAAAGATGATAATTAGGCAAAATATTACAGGAATTAGAATTTTACAACCAGAATTCCACATTGTGGGTGCCACAGTATACAGTTCTATTGCAAATAACAGCATGATGATAACAATTCCCACAAAAGTGACGTAGTAAATAATTTCCATTTAAAACTTTACTTGCCAAGATATAATGTTTCCCTTTGGGGATTTACAAAGTAACAAATGCAGTCCCATGTATAATTAAAATCTCTCTGCAAATATGCATTAAAAAAAAGTTCTAATACTGAGCAGTGAATTTTGAGAGGAAAGGTAGAAATGATAAAGAGTACCTGGTGAGGTAGGAATGGCGCTAAGGCGAGTAGCCCTCACTCATTTACTTACCTTTTATGATTTTCAGCTTAAGATCTTCTATATCTCCACATTGATATTCAGGATGTTCCTCTGGGCTGTCAAAGGTTGCTCCCTCAGCTTTTCAGGCTTTGACTTGAGTGTGATATATTCAGAGGTTGATACTTGTAACTTTTACTGCTGGGGGGGTTGAAAGAAGAATTGTGTAGGGCCCTTCCCAGCCTGGCTTAGGGAAGGAGAGAGAGATGAGTTTTCACCAATACCAAATTTTCTGGCTAAGTAAAGGTGGTCCAATTTCCTGGGGTTGGCCTTTGGCTAGTTGTGTCAATTTCTGTTGGAAGTGAGCTAGAGAGGTTACATTTTTAAACAACTTAGAGGTTTTCTGCCTGAAAACAATCTCTGAGCACACTGATGATAAGTTTTATCCTTTCCTATGTGAAAAAGCTTGGTGAAGGATTTTAAGGACTTTCCATTGACTGGAGGCCAGTAAATGGAGTTTGTCATCCTCAGGGCTGGAATACCCTTAAGAAGTGGCTTATTTTATTTCTGCAGGGGAATACTGAGGTTTAATTTCTTTTATGGAGGCTTCCGAGATTAAAAGGGCTTGAAGTGTGTTAATGCCTTGAGGCTTCCCTGCCGCCTGCTTAGCTCCCTGCTCAGCTAACCTATTTCCTTTGGCTACTTCATCTGTTCCCCTTTGATGTTCCCTATAATACATTACTGCTATTTTTCGTGAAAGGAAAACTGAGGATAATAACCTGTTAATTTCCTGGTGATATTTTATAGGAGATGCTTTAGTGGTAAAAGAATGTCTTTCCTTTTAAATAGCAGCATGAGCATGGAGAACTAAAAAAGCATACTTGGAGTCAGTGGAAATGTTAGCTATCTTTCCCCTGCTTAATTTAAGTGCACTTGCAAGAACTATTAGTTCAGCTAATTGAGTGCTTGTGTCTGGGGAGAGACATTAGAGTGACTATTGCTTGTCCTGCCTTATGTATTTCTTGCTTTACCTGCTGTTTGTTAGCTAAAGTCTCCCCTAGAGGACAGTAATCCTGCTACATTATGTGGGGTGTAAACAGTTAAATTATTTCCTAGGGTTAATTTGGAGGCTTTTTTGACTAGTAGAGCCACCGTGGCAATGGCTTGGAAGCATGTGTAAACAATAGGTCCTCCTAACTGCAATTAGGAGGTTGAGAAAAATATTGGAATAGAGTTTTTCCTGAGACACCCCTTACACTCATGCTATGGGAAGAAGAGAGGCCTGGATTAAAGAGGAGAAAAGAGAGAGAGACTGGCTCGAGTGTTTAGAAGGAGGTCTACTTTCCTTCCTTCAATTTCCAGAATCACCTGGTGGCTCCCGTGCTGTAATGGCAGTTTGAGCCACTGGAGCTGGGGTTTGAGCCCCGGGACCCATCAGTCCTGCTGGACCATCTGTGAGACTGGTTCTGACTCCAGTGACCTCCGTCTCCGGGGGCAGTTTGATTTCCAGTGGTCTCCACCACAGGCTGGATAGGGTTGAGGTGGCTTCCTCTTGCTGTTTGGGCACTCCTTTTTAAAATGCCCTGGCTTGCCACACTGATAGCAACTAGCGGATGCACCTCAGAAATCTTGGACTTTGCAAGCTTGCAAAGCTGCTACTAGAGCCTCTGTCTTTCTCCTGAGCTTTCTCTCTCTCTGGGGGGCCTCCTCCTGGTCCCTATTATAAGTGGCCACCCTCAGGAGGTTCCCCAAGGTGCTATCTGGTCCTATAGCTTGCTTCTACAGTTTCCTTCTAATATCAAGAGCTGCCTGTGTAATAAACTTGTCCTTTACAATGAGCCATCCCTTGACTGAATTAGGGGCTAAAGAAGTGTGCTCTATTAGTGCCTCTCTCAGCCTTTCCATAAAAGCTGCAGGATTCCCATCTGGCTTTTGGTCTATCATAGACAGTTGAGAGGAATTAAGAGGTCAGGCCTTAGTTCTTCATAGACCCTCTAATATGTATATTTTAAAAATGCTTCCATTTCTATTCATTTGCAGAGCTATTGGGGTCCCAGTTGGGGTTGTCGAGAGGAACTGCTTCCCTTCCTACTGGGAATGGTGTTTCTGCTATTTTTTTTCACTTTCCCTATCTCTTTTCTTCCCTTTTGGTGTATTATAGGAGATATGTTGCTCATCTCCAAAATTATCTGCTGCCTGCAGAGCTGCCTGCTTTTCAACTGCGGTTAGAGTTTGGTTTAGGAGCAGCATAACATCCTTCCATGTGAGGTGAAACACCTGAGTTAAATTCTGGAAAGCTTCTATATACCTATTGGGGTTATCAGAAAATTAGCATAAGTCTTCCTTTGTTTGCCTAAGGTCCTGTAATGAAAAGGGAGCTTGAGGTTGAAGGGGGCCAGCCCCTCCACACCTGTGGGTATTTCTCATCAGGTGGGACGAGAGACTGAGAAAAGAAATAAGACACAGAGACAAAGTATAGAGAAAGAACAGTGGGCCCAGGGGACCAGTGCTCAGCATACAGAGGACCTGTGCCGGCTCTGGTCTCTGAATTCCCTCAGTATTTATTGATCACTATCTCTATCATCTCAGTGAGGGGGATGTGGCAGGACTATAGGGTAATGGTGGGAAGAGGGTCAGCAGGAAAACGTGAGCAAAGGACTCTGTGTCATAAATAAGTTTAAGGAAAGGTGCTGTGCCTGGATGTGCACATAGGCCAGATTTATGTTTGACTTTACACAAACATCTCAGTGCAGTAAAGAGCAGTATTGCCACCAGCATGTCTCACCTCCAGCCATAAGGCGGCTTTCTCCTATCTCAGTAAATAGAATGTACGATCGGGTTTTACACCGAGACATTCCATTCCCAGGGATGAGCAGGAGACAGATGCCTTCCTCTTATCTCAACTGCAAAGAGGCCTTCCTCTTTCACTAATCCTCCTCAGCACAGACCCTTTATGGGTGTCAGCCTTGGGGACAGTCAGGTCAGGTCCCTTCCCACAAGGCCATATCTCAGGCTGTCTCTCTCAGTGGGGGGAACCCTTGGACAATACCCAGGCTTTCTTGGGCAGAGGTCCCTGCGGCCTTCCACAGTGCATTGTGTCCCTGGGTACTCGAGACTGGAGAATGGCGATGACTTTCACCAAGCATACTGCCTACAAACACATTTTTAACAAAGCACAGCCTGCACAGCCCTAAATCCATTAAACCTTGAGTCAATACAGCACAGGTTTTCTGCGAGCACAGGGTTGGGGCTAGGGTTACAGATTAACAGCATGTCAAGGCAGAAGAATTTTTCTTAGTACAGATCAAAATGGAGTTTCTTATGTCTTCCTTTTTCTACATAGACACAGCAACAGTCTGATTTCTCTTTACTTCCCCCACATTGGCAACCCTAAATAAGGGGAATTCTCAGATGGTTCCCTTGGAAACTGCCTTTCTAATTCTGGGGGATTATTTTCTATAGGCCTACCTGATATGCCTATTTAAAAAGCTGGGCTGATCTTACAACGCTTGCAGAGGTTTAGTAAAAAAGCCATGCCCTTGTGCAAAAGAAAATGAGTCACTTTTCTCTTCAAAGTCCTGAGGTTAAAGGAGTTCCAGTGTTTCAGACTGCACTCCAGAGGGGTGCAAGCTGAAGCTGGTCTGTCACCCATCTAGAAAAAGAAGTGAGAATAAAAGTATCCTTTCGTCCCCATTCTTTCACTGTGACCCAGGGTGGAGGAGAAGATAGTGGAAGTGTCCTCCCTACTGTTTTCTCTCCTTGGTTCCTGGGTCCTGGCAACGTGTTAAATGTACCACCCACGGTTGTAGGCGTGGTCCTCCAAGCCGTGGAACTGGATAAACTAAGTGATGGGATTAACCATACTTTACCCACACAACCTTAGCTTATCCACCTTATGTGATCCCCTCTGACGTCCTAAATTTGTGTGATCTGCCTGGCTCCCAGAAAAATGGATCTCCAGAGAGACTATGTCATCTTTGGGTAGGCTCCTTTAACGGAGGCAGTGTGCTAGATTGCCTGCCATTACGGCCCATGCTAAAACATTTACCCTTAGCAAAATGGCTCTGGTTAACTTCCGAACCTAAAATCCCCTTGCTAATTAAGTACTATCCTAATTGGAGACGGAAATGAACGTAGGAACCTAATGGCTGTTTTTCCTGCTGATGAGACAGTATCAGAACTAAAATTTCACTACAGAGGACATTTTACTCCAAACTGTTGAAGACAGTGCTTTCTCGTTCACAGAAGAGGCTTTTCTAGCGGCACGAAAGAATTTGGAAGCTGCAGTGTTACGGTAAAAAACCGACAAGGTGCCTGATGAAGAGGATTTTT
Organism: Homo sapiens; assembly: GCF_000001405.40. NCBI lineage: Eukaryota > Metazoa > Chordata > Mammalia > Primates > Hominidae > Homo > Homo sapiens. Next base: position 4,572,864 of record NT_167249.2, read on the forward strand.
ATTTCCACTAGGTGGTGCTGTTGGCTTAGCACTACCATGTGCTCGCCAGAGAGGATAGAGAGTAACAGTTACTGCCTGTGGCATCTGCCGATCTTCCCTAACAGGAGTGTTTCCCTGAACTGTAAAACTTCCCGCAAATTGCACACACAGAGAGAGAGGACAGGAGACATAGTGACCACGGATACAAAGGAAAGGAAAATTTTGCAACGGGTTAGCTGGAGATCCATTACCAACACCTGGACAGGCTGTCCGGAGGCTGCGTTCAGTCCAGAAGACTTTGAATAACACCAGGGTGTGCCCTGGCCAGAAATTTTCAGTTGCCCCAAGACTTTCCCAGCCTCATGCGATGGTGAAGTTCTCCATGAAAGGAAACTGGTATGAAGAGATCCTTGAGATTAAAGAACAGATTTGACGTTTGCTCTATACTCACCACTCCGATGTTTCTATCTTCCATTCTGATTTGGATCCCGGATGAGCTCCCAAAATGAAACAGCTCCACTGTCTAGGGTATATACCCTGGTTCTTTACCATAGCCGAAAAAGAATTCACAGCACGGACACACACAAGGAGTGGGTTTAGGAGCGGAAAGTTTAATAGAAAAGAGGAGTGAGAGGAAAAGCTTCCTAATGCTGATAAGGCAGGTCACCCAAGAGAGGGTCTCCTGTTTCTGGTGGAAAGCAATTGGTTTTGTACAGAGGCTTGAGGAGGCAGTGATTGATTTACATAGGGCTCAGGGGATTGGTTTGACCAGGTGTGTCATTTACATAACCTGCAAAAAGACTGGCCCTCCCACCCTAGTATTTTATTATGCAAATGCGGCCTCCACCTGGTGGCGGCCATGATACCTGTACACGTGCTTTAACCTGGAGGCTGCCTTGACACCTGTAAACGTAGAAGGAAAAGAGGGTGAGAATAGCCATATTGAATTACATGACTTCCAGGAACAGCTGCCAGCATTTACATAAAAGCTTCTAGTTTGCATATCTATGCCTGAGTTTTCAGGCTGCTTTCTGTTAGAGAAAAAATGGCTTGGGGCTGCTTTTTATTAAAGGAAAATTCCACCCAGAACTTTTACCCTTTTTAGCTGCCTAAAAATAATCTCTTAATAACTCGTGTATTAATTTGGCCAAGAGAGAAATCCCGTGAAGGAGACCAAAAAGCACCAGTGAGCCTCTCACTAAACAAGGACCTTTGTCCTAGAGAAAGAGGAAAGAATGAAGGGGGAGGAGGAGGAGGCTCAGGAGGTCACACCATTGATCCCTCTGTTCCTGGGAAAGTGAAAGGAAGGTCATCTGATAAGAGGGAGAAGATGCACACATTGAGTAAGGATGAGGAGAGTGACATGGGTTTAGGAAAGTTGCTGGCGTAATTGGTTGAGAGAGGTGTCCAAATAAAAGTAATACAATTTGCAAAATCTGTCACTAAGACTTCATAGAGGCCCAAATCAGCGACATGGCAGCATTTTCTTTCATGGTAATCAGCTGCCAGATTGCAGAGACCCCCTGATGCCAGACTAAGGAGTGTGGATTTCTCCTCTAGGCCAGCAGGTCCCCAACCTCACTGCTCAGAAGACTCTCCTTGAGATCCTCTGTGAAGCAAAGATTCCCCCAGACTCACTGCCTAGAGATTCAGATTCCCTAGGTGGGGAGGTCTGGAGATCTGTGTTTTTAATCAGCTCCCAAGTGATTCCCATGTAACCAGATAAGTGTCAGAACACTGAAGATTTTTGAAAATCTTCAGAAATCTTAAAATGACAAGGCTGGAAATCTGTTTTCAGAAGACTGTGAAGTCAGTTGGAGAGAGCAGGAACCAGAGGCAGGGAGATGAGACAAGAAACTGCTATTATTGTCCAGGGAAATCATAATAAGGGCATGAATTAGAATAAAGAAAAACACAGGGGTAGGGGAGATGGAGGAAAGAGGAGGATAGAAGTTCTGGCCATTCCAGTGTGGATGCCCACCCAAATCTAGAATTAACTGAGCAAAGGCAACTAGAACAAACAGGAATCCTTGCCTTGGTGAAATATATTTGAACTGGGTCAGAAATGAGGCCACTGGGTATCAAGCCTTAGCTGCAGCGCCCCCTGGAGGTCTCTGATGTGCTCCAGGCTGACCAGCTCCCATCAAAGAAGATGGAGCAAAGTGCTTCTCATGGAATGTTCTGGGACCTTAAAACAGACACCCATATATCCCATGACTTTCATGCTTCCCAGAACACCTATGGGGAAGAAGTTCCACTTAATCTACAGTTGGGATTCAGACATGGGTTGACCAGTCTGATGGATGTTGAGTTTACGGAGGTGGTTGAAGTAGAACGAGAGCCAAGTGCCTCTGAAATAAAATCACATCGAGGGAAGAGGCTGTGAATGTGAATAATCCTGGACACAAGGCAAAAATACCATAGGGAGTAAGGGTTGTGGGTTAGTTCAAGACTGTTCATTTACCTGGCCCAGGCCCATGTCAGTGTATTTGTGTTCTCAAGAACAGAGTAAATAAGGACCTAGAAGCTCTGATTTGGAACATTCCTGTAATTGAGCTGTTCTCTAGGGGCAGTTGGCCCTTTTCTGCCTTCTGTGGAGGAAAAGGGTACTAGTGGCTGAGGTCCAAAGAAAAAGCTGCAGGTGGTAGCGTGGAAATTGATCTGTAAGCGGCAGAAAAAGAGGGGGCAAAAACAGAGAGGTGCCAAGGCACAGCCAACACCTGGTTATCTGAGAACCTCAATGGATGTGACAACACAGTGCAGAGGAGGAACTTAGGGAAAAGGATGGGATTTCTACTATTTAAGCATGTAGGGGCTCAGGATATTATGTAAATAGGACGATTTTGAGTGTTTGCAGGCGAGGCCAAAAAATCCATAGGTTACTTGCAGAATAAGTCATGTCAAGCTCACTTTATTTTCTTGATATATTTATGAAATATAGTTATTGGATTAATAGACCATGAGAATGTCGTTTATATATATATTAATTTCAAGAAATCATTTGAGCAAATTTTTCATCTTTTGCATCAGGATAGAGCACTCAAAAGATAAGGTAGTGTCGCTGCTGATTAAATATTCTTTGTCCAAAGGCTGTTAATCAGTGGCTGATAGATAAGATTTCTTTTAAATGTGCTACAAACTGGTAAGTTTGTGTGCCTCCTATTCTTCTCAATACTATTTCTATAGTTTCAATACTCCCCTTATCCGCTGACCTAATCACATCATTCCTACTTTTTTTTTTTTTTTTTTTTTTTGAGATGGAGTTTCACTCTTGTTGTCCAGGCTGGAGTGCAATGGTGCGATCTTAGCTCATGCAACCTCTGCCTCCGGGGTTCAAGCGATTCTCCTGCCTCAGCCTCCTGAGTAGCTGGGATTACAGGCATGCACCACCACACCCAGCTAATTTTGTATTTTTAGTAGAGACAGGGTTTCTCCATGTTAGTCAGGCTGGTCTCGAACCACCTGCCTCAGCCTCCCAAAGTGCTGGGATTACAGGTGTAAGCCACTGCGCCTGGCCATCATTCCTATTTTCAACATCTAGAAATCAATTCCATAATGAGCATGTCTAAGAAATAATAATCTCAAATGCTATTCCACTTTTCCACTTCCCCACTCCTAGTCCAGCCTAGGGTGAACATCTCCCCTCCAAGAAGGAGCCCCAGCAGCACCACGACCTGCTTGTCTACCACGTGACAGATTTCTACCCAGACAGCATTCAAGTCCGATGCTTCCTGAATGGACAGGAGGAAACAGCTGGGGTCGTGTCCACCAACCTGATCCGTAATGGAGACTGGACCTTCCAGATCCTGGAGATGCTGGAAATGACCCCCCAGCAGGGAAACATCTACACCTGCCAAGTGGAGCACCCCAGCCTGGACAGTCCTGTCACTGTGGAGTGGAGTGAGGGTCTGATGACCCTCTAGACTCCACCTCTGAAGAGCAGGGGACTCTCTGGCTCTGGGGTCCACTCATCTGGTTTTATGTGTCTATACCCTGGGACCATGTCCGACCCCATTTTTCTTCTATACAAGACCCTGAGTGTAGTTTTAACCTGGGGACAATGGAGACTTGCCTGCCCCCGGCCTAGAAGGTCCTAAGGATTCATAGTTCCTCTCCTTGTCCAAGAATCTAGGGATGCAGACACCTTCCTGAACTGACCTTACACATGGGAACTGTTGTCTTCCTTCAGCCTTTTAGCTTATTCTAAGTTATTTTGAGAGGCAACTAATTGAATCTGAATTTGTCTGTTGTTGAGGTCACACCCTCTGTTCCAGAATTGAGATAGTGACTGTTTCTCAATTTCCTGTCATGCAAGGTGTATTCCCCTCGCTCTCCTCATGCCAATATTCTGCATCAGGCTGCAGGATCTCAGACAGGACATGAGCAGGGGTGCAGCTGCTGGAGTTGACTCTGAACCTGAGCCTGTTCTTCCTAGAGGCACAGTCTGATTCTGTGCAGAGCAAGATGCTGACAGGAGCCAGGGGCTTCATGCTGGGGCTCATCATCTGTGGAGTGGGCATCTTCACGCACAGAAGGAGCAAGAAAGGGGAGAAATCCTGTGAGGTGACCAATACCCACCTTTCTCCTGACTTGCTCACCCTTCTTCCATGATGAGGGGCTGAGACAAAAAAGCAATGCCAGAGAGCTTGCTGAAATCACATAGTCAGGAAACAAAGACAGCTTCTAAGGAGAGAGGAATCCCAGCCTGGCATCTTAATGCAGCCAGATGCATGAGGTCCCAGTTACTCAGGCTCCTGCAGAGCGTCCATTGAGTGATGGGCAATGGAAGTATGATGGAAACGTTTCTCTAATTGTCTGAGGTGGTTTCAGTAGCTGAATACATTCTCTTTCTTCCTTTCATTTCAGTTCAACAAGGATCTGCATAAACAGGCAATATTCCTGCTTTGATTTCCTTGTTGGGGGAGTTACAGGAGGACATAAGTCCTTTCTGTACATTGTGACACTGAGGCTCCTCTAGGAAAAGAGTCTCAGGCCTGAACCCCTGTTTCAACCTCAGCCCTGGGGTGAGTGGGGAAAGAGCATTGCATGGCTCCATTGCTAAAGGAAGCTCAGATCAACTCTATTCTTTATCAGCCTGAGATTCAGCCTCTCACCGTTATTTTTCTCTCCTGGGACTTAAAGGAAGGGGGCCAGCAACCTGGGATTACTGTTTTTTACCTCCACAGGGTTGCTGACCTTGCCTAAAAGACTAATGTACCTTGGAACAAGCATTTTCTATTTCTTTAGTCCCAGTATCTGCTTCGAGGACAGACCCCCAGCCTCCCAAGAGGATGCTGCTGCTGAGTAGTTGCACTGAAGCCAGTTTCTATCATTCTGTTCCTGGATTCAATGCATGATTTCTCTCATGGGGCCTCCAACCAAGTTCCTTTCTCCTTAGTGCCATGAGTAATCAAAACCCAACATGATTGTTTTCTGTTAAGAATATACACCAAGTCACGTCTCATCACTTTTTTTTCTTGAGGGTTTTAGCAAACAGTAAGAGTTAATAAAGAAGTTCATTGTGGTTTAGACATAAGAAAGAAGAAAACCATGAAAATCCATCCAAACTATTGTATAAGGTGGCCTGTTGGACATAGACCTCTCCTGGATTTACTGTATTTCAGTGAGCTGCCCCATCATCATGTTTGGTGTCTTCATCCATTTAGGTCTGAAACCACTATTCTTAGCTATTCAGTGGTGAACAGACTGCAAATCTGTGTTATAGGGCCCATATTAACATAGCACTGATTCAACATATAACTTACTAAGAGCATGTTTTAGCATTACTGTTAAGAAATTAAATAAGCATCAGAATTTAAAACGATAAATATAATCTAACACACTTTCAACACTTTCTTTGCATGCCATCACAAATACTCCTTAACCAAATGTTGCTTGGCCTTTTGAATGCATCAAGTAGACGACATTTATCCTCTAAGTCTGCATTCATTCACCAGCCTAGACCTCCTGAGCTAATAATTCATACAGTGAGAAACGCCTCCCCATTGTTGAAAGTGCAAAGCAATAGGTGTGGCACTCTTTCAAACACTGATCTTTTTTTTACAATCCAAAATTTTTATGTGTTTTGCATTTCATATTAAGTTACTGTAAATCAAGGTAGAAGACATGTTTGGTCTAAGCTTTCCTTTTCGTGTAGAGGATGGATTCTTAACTCCTGATACACATAATGAGCACTCAGTGGCTCTCTGATACATCCAGTTGTTGGCTTCCTTCTCCCTGACTTCTCACAAGCAGCTTCTGGGCCTTGTGTGCCCCTGGGCGCCTATCCCTGGTCAGTTTACCAGAGCTACCCGTGTTCCTCTCACTATCCAATCAGAGTCATCTCCTTCCATTTTTGTCCCCTGGACGCATGCTGTAGGTGTCAGCCGTACCCAGAGTGGAGTGAACAATCTGCAGACTAACTCTTGCAGGATGCAAAACTGAGGTATCTGCACCCATAATGCACCTGTATCCTACAATTACAAGTCCAGGATATGCATTCCTAGGAAACTGAGAATATAAGGAGTCACAGAAAGGCATCAGATGTGCCTAGCTCTGACATACACAGGTATTTATTGAACTCTGGGATTTCTCAGGAAAAATGCAGTGCAGAGAAAGGTTCCTGATGAGACCACAGCATACAGACCATCCAGTGTGGGCACCACCTTGTCACTACACTTTAAATTCTTCATATTGATTGAGGGCTATCTAAATGTCAGACCCTTTGCTGAGTGCTAGGTGCAGGAGGATCATAGGCAGCCAGGAGGTAGAGGGGTCTTGGGGTACATAAGTCATTGTGGTTGAAGAGCAGAGATTCAAAAGAAAGTTAGGCCTGGAGATTTAAAGGAGACCGAAGCTGGTGACTTCCTTATGTCAACTTCTGGCTGAGAAAGTTTGACACCTGGAGTAGAATAAACACAGTGGGGTTAGGACTGCCAGCTTAGTGTTTTGTCCCCCATCCCTTTCCATCCCTGGTCCCTTCATTTTCTGACCCTCACAGTGTGAATAAACTCTCACAGATGCCAGACCATCTCCTTCTTGTCCAGGTGCACAAATAACTGCTCATCTTCATCAGATTCAAACATATACTCCCCAGAGGGTCTGTGTGTCTGCACAAACTCTGCATACGTTGACACATGGTCTGCTGCTTGAAGGGGAAGAAGACTGCAGAATGAGGAACACATAGGAAACTACACAGAATACAAGAAGCAAGCAGGTAATGGGAAAGTTTTTAAGAATGCAAGGGAATAACACAGAAAATGAGAAATGCAAAAATGAATGAAAAGAAAAGGAATGGGGATAAACAATGATAGAAATGACTCATAGAAGATTTCAGTTGTTTCCCTGGTCTCTGAACACTTACACAACCCTCACATCATTCCAATAATGATAACACTGAACACAATCAGAAAATATTCACTGAACATGTACCATGTGCTCAACTTATTCATTGAATCCTCACACTTCCACGTAGAAGTGTTCAAAGAAGGCCAGGCGCGGTGGCTCACGCCTGTAATCAGCCGGGCATGGTGGCAGGTGCCTGTAGTCCCAGCTACTCAGGAGGCTGAGGCAGGAGAATGGCGTGAACCCGGGAGGTGGAACTTGCAGTGAGCTGAGATCGCGCCACTGCACTCCAGTCTGGGAGATAGAGCGAGACTCCTTCCCAAAAAAAAAAAAGTGTTCAAAGAAAAACTTCTGGCCAGGCACGGTGGCTCATGCCTGTAATCCCAGCACTTTGGGAGGCCGAGGCAGGTGGTTCACTTGAGGTCAGGAATTCAAGATCAGCCTGGCCAACATGGTGAAACCCCTTTGTCTCTACTAAACCTCTTTGTCTCTACTAAAGATACAAAAATTAGCCAGGCATGCTGTCTGTAGTCCCAGCTACTTGGGAGGCTGAGTCAGGAGACTCACTTGAACCGGGAGGAGGAGGTTACAGTGGGCTGAGATTGCGCCACTGCACTCCAGACTGGGTGACGGAGTGAGACTCTGTCTCGAAAAAAAAAAACAGAAAAAAGAAAAAAAGAAAAACTTCAGCTGAATTCAATATAAAAGAGTCAAATTGAGCAATGAACGATTCGTGAATCAGGCAGCCTCCCGAGGCAGAGTAGGCTCAGAGACTCCATTGCAGGCATGTGGTGGAAGATTTATGGACAGAAAAAGGAAAGTGACATACAGAAAACAGAAGTGAGGTACAGAAACACCCAATTGGTTACAGCTGGGTGTATCCTTATTTGAACACAGTTTGAACAGTTGGCTACATATGATTGGCC